>NT_167246.2:3445247-3547835 GCF_000001405.40 Homo sapiens | reverse complement strand
GGCCAAGTCCGCCAGGTGCCTCCTGTCCATCTCCTTCCCTCTTCATCCAGCACCCACCCACTCACCCACGCCAGCCCCAACCTCTTTACAGATGAAGGAACTGAGTGAGGCTCAGAGAGGTTAGCTAGTCTGACCAACATCACACTGTGTCAAACTCCTAAGCTAAGTGTTTTTTTCACTATTATATACTCTTCTGCTCTACCCACCAAAAAATTTCTTATCATGCCTTTGTTGCGAAAGAAGGAAAGAAAGAAAGAAGGAAGGAAGGAAGGAAGGAAGGAAGGAAGGAAAGAAGGAAGGAAGGAAGGAAGGAAAGAAGGAAGGAAGGAAAGAAAGAAGGAAGGAAGGAAGGAAGGAAAGAAGGAATGAAGGAAGGAAGGAAGGAAAGAAAGAAGGAAGGAAGGAAGGAAGGAAGGAAGGAAAGAAAGAAAGAAAGAAAGAAAGAAAATCTTTTGTCCCCAAAGTTAGAAAAACAAGTGAAAAAGGCCCAAGGCTATCAGCGAGGGCTCCAGAACCAAGGCAGTGCGGCCCTGCCCTTTCCTCCCACCTCACCCCTGCTCTGCTTTCCTCAGCCACTCCTGACCAGCAAGCAGGACACTGGGCATGGGTCCCAAGCCTGTGTCACCTTGGGCAGGTCGCGTCTCCCCTCTGGGCCTCAGTAAAAGAAGAAATGGGACCAAGTGAACAGTTCCAGGCTGTGTTCCCCAGCATCCTACATCCCATGGCAACCTTGAAGGGTCACTCTGGGTAGGGGTGGGGTCTCAGGAGGGGAAAGACTCAGCCAGAGCGCTGATCCTATATCTCTTCTCTATTTTGGGATTCTAGATATGAGTTTGATGGACAAAATTCCTCTACATTTGACATGATGAAAAGAAAGTTTGAAAGCCAGAGGCAAGACCATCCTGAAGATTCCTTTCAACTCCAAGGTCCTTTCACTTCCACAGGTGATCTGACATCACCACCTCTCTCACCACGCTGACAGCACTTTCATTTTGACTCTTGTGATGAGGTCACCTGGTATCTACACAGGATGGGGTTTTTTTGTGGAAAATGAAGGATTTCCATATCTGCGAATTTATTACACAAGAGTTTTAATATGGCTGAGCACAGTGGCTCATGCCTGTAATCCCAGCACTTTGGGAGGCCAAGGCGGGCAGATCACTTGAGGTCAGGAGTTCAAGACTAGCCTGGCCAACATAACAAAACCCCATCTCTACTAAAAATACAAAAATTAGTCAGGTGTGGTGGTGTGCACCTATAGTCCCAGCTACTTGGGAGGCTAGGGCAGGAGAATCGCTTGAACCTGGGAGGCAGAGGTTGCAGTGAGCCAAGATCGCACCACTGCACTCCAGCCTGGGCAACACAGCAAGACCCTATCTCAAAAAATGGAGGAAAAAAAAGAGTTTTAATCCCAGATGTTTTATTCATTAAAATTCACTGCTAAACAAACAACCAAAAAAACTGTCAGTTAACTAGAAGGATTGACGGGGGTGTCTGATTAACTGGAAGTGTCCTGAAGATGTCCTGACTTTATAAGGACAATTTTGTAATGAATACATATACATTCTGTGAGGGCAGGGAGGGTTTTGCTAAGCACAGGGTAGATAGTCAAGCTTGGTTAACTTACTGCTTGAATAAATGAATGAATACATGAACTTTTCTCTGGTGGTCAAGAGTAATGCAGGGCCTTAGCTGCTTTGCAGTACATGTGGCCTCCAACGTCACCTTCAGCTGCTCCTGTTGCCAGCATTTAACAGCCTTCCAGTCACTCCTCACTCTTCACAATTCACTAAAATTTTCAGTCCCTGGGTCACTGTCTTTCTCTTCATCCCACTCCTGCTACCATTCTTTGTGGCTTCTCTATCAACCAAGACACTCCACCCAACACCCTGGCCTCTCACCTTGACCTTTTGACCTTCTCACCTCCAGTGATCTTGTCCTCCCCCTACCACAGCCACTCACTCCACAGTCATATCTAGACCTTGTCATTACCTGTACCTGTACCTGAAACCTCTCCATAATCTCAGTTTTAAGTATCCCCCTTCCTGTCCTTGCAGATCACTCCCTCTAGTGTCCACCTCCAAAGATCAAACAATATTTTCACTTCTCCAGACCTCCAACCCCTTTGACCCTGACATTATGAGATCCTGTGCCCTCCCAACCTTATCCCGCTTAGGTTTCATGAAGCATTGTTGTAAGAGCTATCTTGCATCTCAACTCCTATTTCCCTCATTCCCTCCATCATGCCTGCCTGTCAAAAGCCTAGCTCTGGCTACCTCCAACTTCCCACCGACTCCATGCCTGCATCCAAGCAGCTGAAGTGGTTGGATAAAAATACTCAACCATGCTCATCAAACATTTACAAACTTCAAGTTGGCCATTAGAAACACCCAGCAGATAACCTGTGATGGAATTAGAGTAAAGAAAAGAAAAAGAAGTATACGGCATTTTCCTGGCCACTCACTCACAGAATTTCAAGGCAACTATTTCACACTTTCTTGTATTTCATTACACAGCCTCCATCCTCCTCACTTTCTTTTTTTTTTTTTTTTTTTTTTTTGAGACAGAGTCTCACTGTATGGCCCAGGCTGGAGTGCAATGGCGCAATCTCGGCTCACCGCAACCTCTGCCTCCTGGGTTCAAGTGATTCTCCTGCTTCGGCCTCCCAATTAGCTAGGATTACAGGCATGCACCACCACACCCGGCTAATTTTGTATTTTTAGTAGAGACGAGATTTCACCATGTTGCCCAGGCTGGTCTCAAACTCCTGACTCAGGTGATCCACCCTCCTCAGCCTCCCAAAATGTTGGGATTACTGGCATGAGCCAATGTGCTCAGCTCATCTTCCTCACTTTCAACTAACAACCAACTCCTCCACTTGGGCACTAGACCCCACTGCCTCTCACCTACTCAGGGCCATTCCTCCAGCAATACCCCATCTCCTGCACACCGCCTTTCCCTCTGCAGTGGCTCACTCCCATCAGCAAGCAAATATGTTATTCCTCCTATCTTAGAAAATAAAAAATGAATAAATACAAACCTTCCTCAGCACCCAAACTGAGGTCTCCTAGTACCATTTCCTCTAAAAAGAAACATATAGCAGCTTATGTACAAGATGAGCCTGAACATCTTATCACCAGAAAACAAGAAAGGCATCAAAGATATTAGTATTTTATCAACTTGAGGCTCGCACTGCCCAAATATGGCATAAATGGAGCCTCAGTAAAAATAGTGATAGCAACGGATTAAAACACATTCAAATCAACTGACTCATAGTGATACTAAATAAAGGGTCATTGGTTACCTTTGGCAGATGCTAGAGAACAAACTCATTATTCTGAAAGCTGCTAAATAAAGGGGAAAGAATGGCATCAATCTGCCTTTCCTAAATAAGTCATGTCAAAATAGTAGATGGGACATAATCTGTATAAATGAAATCAGTTTAGACAGAATAATAGACTTAGAATATCTGCATTTTATAATCCCTAAGAAAATAATGGATCTAGCAATGCTCATCATGGCTACCAACTAGAATTCTATGCCTCCTGATAGAAACACAGCACAATACCACCTATGACGTAGCCTTGCCAGAAAATAGATCATGAATCATATAAAGTCTTTAAATCTAACTACCAGTTTAAGAAGAAAATGGGGGAGGCAGAGGAATATGGTAAATGGTACAGTGATTCAATTAGCAAAATTCAGAATGTGGAAAGTTCTATAGGAAACAAGCCATTTCTTCAACAAATAAATGTCAAGGGGGTAAAAAAAGATTTAAAGAGACTTAAGCTCCAAGTCTAACCATGAGAAAATCACCAAACAAATTCCAAAAGAGGGGCAGCCTGCATAACACCTGACTAGTACACCTCAAAACTATCAAGGTCACCAAAAACAAGGAACACTGGCAAAACTGTCACAACCAAGAGGGCCCAAAGAGACATGACAAATACATGAAATATGGTAACCTGGAAGGCCAGGCGTGGTGGCTCACGCTTGCAATCCAGCACTTTGGGAGGCCGAGGCGGGCAGATCACTTGAGGCCAGGAGTTCGAGACCAGCCTGTCCAAATGGGGAAACCCCGTCTCTACTCAAAATACAAAAAAATTAGCCGGGCATGGTGGTGGGCACCTGTAGTCCCAGGTACTCGGGAGGCTGAAGCAGAAGAATTGCATGAAACTAGGAGGCGGAGGTTGCAGTGAGCCAAGATCACACCATTGCAATCCAGCCTGGGCAACAAGAGCAAAATTTCGTCTCAAAAAAAAAAGGAAAAGAAATATGGAATCCTGGAACAGACAAAAAGACACCAGGTGAAAACTAAGACAATCTGAATGAATGAAGTATGGACGTTAATAATAATTTATCTTTTTTTTTTTTTGAGACAGAGTCTTGCTCTGTTGCCCAGGCTGGAGTGCAGTGGCATGATCTCAGCTTACTGCAGCCTCCACTTCCAAGGTTCAAGTGATTCTCCTGCCTCAGCCTCCCAAGTAGCTGGAATTACAGGTGTGCTCCACCACGCCTGGCTAATTTTTGTATTTTTAGTAGAGACAGGGTTTCACCATGTTGGCCAGGCTGGTCTCAAACTCCTGGCCTCAGGTGATCCGCCCACCTCAGCCTCCCGAAGTGCTGGGATTACAGGCGTGAGCCACCATGCCCGACCAATTTATCAATATTGATTCATTAATTATAACACATATACCCACACTCACGTAAGATGTTATTAATAAGGGACACTGAATCCAGGGAGGGCACATGGGAATACTCTGTACTATCCTCTCAGTTTCTCTATAAATCTAAAACTGTTCTAAAATGTGAATTCCACTTCAAAGAAGAGAAAGAGAGACTTAAGACACATATCAACTGAATACAATGCACGGATATTGTTTTGATATTGATTCAAACTGTATATATATTTAATGGAGAATTTGGGAAAACTAAACATTGCATATTTGATAATATTAAGAAATTATGTAAACTTTTCAGAAATAATACTAGCAAAATGGTTATATTATTTAAGAGTTCTTATCTTTTAGGATACTGAAATATTTGTGATAGAAATGATACAATATCATATCATATCATGTCATATCATATCATATCATATCTGGGATTTGTTCTAAAATAATCTGGTATGGAGGTTGGGAGTAGAGATGGAACCAGAGTGGTCCTGAATTTTTTTTTTCTTTAGACAGTGTCTCGCTCTGTTGCCCAGGCCGGAGTGCCATTTTGACTCACTGCAACCTCCGCCTTTTGAGTTCAAGTGATTCTCCTGCCTCAGCCACCCTAGTAGCTGGAATTACAGGCATGCACCACCATGTCCGGCTAATTTTTGTATTTTTTATTAGAGACGGGGTTTCACCACGTTGGCCAGGCTGGTCTTGAACTCCTGACCTCAGGTGATCCACCTGCCTCAGCCTCCCAAAGTGCTAGGATTACAGGCATCAGTGGTCCTGAATTAATGATTATTGCATCTGGGTCACGGGTATATGGGAGTTCTTTTTCATTATCTCTATTTATGTGTATGAATTTTCTGGAATAATGAGTTTTTTAAAATTTCTCATGACCTCATATGCTGTCTCGCTAGACATACTTTCTCTGCAGCTCTTGACAGCAAAATTCCTTAAGAAATTCTACAACACAAAATGTCTCTACCTCCTCTCCTCTCACAGATTTATTGAGGCATAATTTACATACCATAAAATTCACCCACTTTGGTCGGGCGCAGTGGCTCACAGCTGTAATCCCAGCACTTTGGGAGGCCGAGGTGGATGGATCACTTGAGGTCAGGAGTTCGAGACCAGCCTGGCCAACACGGTGAAACCCCGTCTCTACTAAAAATACAAAAATTAGCCAGGTGTAGTGGTGGCCCCCTGTAATCTCAGCTACTCGGGAGGCTGAGGCAAGAGAATTGCTTGAACCTGGGAGGTGGAGATTGCAGTGAGCCAAGATGGCACCACTGCACTGTAGCCTGGGCAACAGATCGAGACTCCATCTCAAAGAAGAAAAAATCATCCATTTTAAGTGTACAATTCAATGATTTTAGTATATTTATAGAGTTGTAAAACTATCACCACAATCTAATTTTGAAACATTTCCATCACACCAAAAAGAAATTTCATATTCCTTTGCACTTAGCCCCCATTCCAAACCTGAGCCCTAGACAATCACTAATCTTTCTGTCTCTATAGATTTGCCTATTTTAGACATTTCGTGTAAGTGGATTCCTGCAGCCTTTTGAGTCTAGCTTCTTTCACTTAGCATAATGTTTTTGAGGTTCATTCATTTTGCAGCATGTATCCATATTTCATTCATTTTTATTGCTGAATAGTATTCCATTGTATGGACACACCTTTTTTTTTTTTTTTTTTTGAGATAGAGTCTTGTTCTGTCACCCAGGCTGGAGTGCAGTGGTGTGATCTCAGCTCACTGCAACCTCTGCCTCCCAGGTTCAAGCAATTCTTCTGCCTCAGCCTCCCAAGTAACTGGGATTACAGGGGTGCACCACCATGCCCAGCTAAATTTTTTGTATTTTTAGTAGAGACGGGGTTTCACCATGTTGGCCAGCCTGGTCTCAAACTCCTGACCTCAAGTGATGCACCTGCCTCAGCCTCCCAAAGGGACACACCATATTTTGTTCACCAATTCACTGATCAATGGATATTTGGTTGTTTTTACTTCATACCTATTGTGAATAACACTGCTATGAATTCTTATACAAGTATTTGTGTGGACAATACGCTTTCATTTTTCTTTCTTTTTTTTTTTTTTTGAGACAGAGTTTTGCTCTTGTTGCCCATGCTGGAGTGCAACAGCGCAATCTCAGCTCACCGCAACCTCCGCCTCCTGGGTTCAAGTGATTCTCCTGCCTCAGCCTCCCAAGTAGCTGGGATTACAGGCATGCACCACCATGCCCAGCTAATTTTTGTATTTTTAGTAGAGATGGGGTTTCTCCATGTTGGTCAGGCTGGTCTCAAACTCCTGACCTCGGGTGATCCGCCCACCTCGGCCTCCCAAATTCCTGGGATTACAGGCGTGAGCCACCACACCTGGCCTGCTTTCATTTTTCTTAGGTAGATACCTAGGAACCCAATTGCTGAGTCACATGGAAAATCTGTGTTGAATGTTTTAAGGACTTAACCAGCTGCCTTCAAGCTCCAAGACAAGATGACGTAGATGCTCTTCTGATTCCTCCTGCTAAATACAGCTACAATCCTGGATGGTATATATAAAACAAACATAAGAAGATCCTGAAAGATGCAGAGAAGGCAGACTGGCTAGGAATCTCAAGACCCGAAAAAACAATATAGTGGTGAGTTCCCTGGGTTTGGCTTTTGCCTCATATATACAAGACTGGGTGCTGGAAAAGCCAGCAACCAGGAAACTCCAACAGGAAGATGAAAAAAATCCCGGAAAGTCTCTGGCCAAAGGACCAACAAAGGAACATCCTGGAAAGACAAAACTTTTAGACAATGACTACTCTATTTCAGGCAAAAAAAAAAAAAAAAAAAAAAAACACTCTCACCCCCATATCTGCCAATAAAGGATGAGTGGGGAGTTTAGCCATCAACTCCCACCCAGCTGAGGCACCTCTCCCCAGCAAGTAGGAAGCTGGGACTCTCAGCCCCGCCTGGTGGTATGAAATCCCCCTCCATCACAACCAGTGTCACTGGAGACCCCGTGGGGAACAGGAATGAGGTGCTTCTTACTCTCTCAGCCAGGGTGTGTCAGCAGAGACCTAGTGGGAAGCCTGAACCCCCATCCACACCTAGCAATAACAAGGAGCACGGCTCCCTCAAGTGTTCACAGAGGCCAAGTGAGGAACCTGGGCCTCTCCCCCAACCTGACAGCAGTGAGGCAGCACCCTCTTTGCTCAACTAGTGCGGTGTCAAAGGATGATCACTAAAACAGACTTAAATAAGATCCAGAGTCTCATAACATACAATCCAAAATGTGCAGGATGCAAGCGAAAATCACTTGTCATACCAAGAATCGGGAAAATCTTGAATAAGAAAAGACAATTAATAGACATCAACACCCAAGTTGACTTAAATGTTGGAATCACCTGATGCATATTTAAAGCAAGCAAGTATTTTAAAACAAGTATTAAAAATGCTTTACAGGCCAGGCACATTGGCTCACTCCTGTAATCCCAGCACTTTGGGAGGCCAAGGCGGGTGGATCACTCAAGGTCAGGAGTTCGAGACCAGCCTGACCAACATGGCGAAACCCCGTCTCCACTAAACATACAAATATTAGCTGGGCATGGTGGTGCATGCCTGTAATCCCAGCTACTAGGGATGCTGAGGCAGGAGAATCACCTGAACCCAGAGGCAGAGGTTGCAGTGAGCTGAGATCATGCCATTGCACTCCAACTTGGGTGACAGAGCAACACTCCATCTCAAAAAAAAAAAAAGCTTCACAGGCCAGGCACATTGGCTCACATCTGTAATCCCAGCATTCTGGGAGGCCGAGGTAGGCAGATCACTTGAGGTCAGGAGTTCAAAACCAGCCTGGCCAACATGGCAAAACCCCATCTCTACTAAAAATACAAAAATTAGCCAGACATGGTGGCAGATGCCTATAATCCCAGCTATTCAAGAGACTGAGGCAGGAGAATCACTTGAACCTGGGAGGTGGAGGTTGCAGTGAGCCAAGATTGCACTGCTGCACTCCAGCCTGGGCAACCGAGTGAGACTCTGTCTCAAAAAAAAAAAAAGCTTTACAGCCAAGTGCAGTGGCTCATGCCTGGTGGGAGGATCACTTGAGCCCAGGAGTTCATGACCAGCAACATAGGGAAATGCTGTCTCTACAAAAAACAACAACAAAATAGTAATAATAATAATAATAATAATAATAATTACCCAGGAATGGTAGTGTGTACTTGTGGTCCCAGCCCCTTGGAAAAAAAAGTGTTTTTAATTAGCCAGACATGGTGGTGTGTACTTGTGGTACCAGCTACTTGAAGGCTGAGGTGGGAGGATCACTTGAGCCTAGGAGGTCAAGGCTGCAGTGAGCCATGATTGCACTTCAGCCTGGGCAACAGAGCAAGACCTTGTCTCAAAAAGAAAAGGAAAAAAAAAAAAACAACATTTAACAAGCAATTACAAACTCTCTTGAAACAAATGAAAACCAGAAATTTTGGCAAAGAAATGGAAGATATAAAGAAGAATCAGGCTGGGTGAGGTGGCTCACACCTGTAATCCCAGCACTTTGAGAGGCGGAGGTGGGCGGATCATGAGGTCAAGAGATCAAGACCATCCTGGCCAACATGGTGAAACCCCGTCTCTACTAAAAATACAAAAAGTTAGCCAGGCATGGTGGCAGGTGCCTGGAATTCCAGCTACTTGGGAGGCTGAGGCAGGAGAATCACTTGAACCTGGGAGGCAGAGGTTGCAGTGAGCCAAGATCGTACCATTGCACTTCAGCTTGGGCAAAAACAGCGAAACTCCATCTCCAAAAAAAAAAAAAAGAAGAAGAAGAATCAAATAGAAATTTTAGAACTTAGAAATATAATCATGAAAATTGAAGACTCAATAGATTGGCTTAACAGCAGATTGGAGAGGACAGAGGAAAGATTCAGCGAACTTAAAGGTAGAAGAGAAATTACTCAATCTGGACAACGGAGAAAAATAGACTGAAAAAAATGAACAGAGGTTCATTTATGGGACTGTAACAAAAGAGCTAACTAACGTTCTGTCATCAGCATTTAAGAAGAAGAGAGAGAGAATGGAGCAGGAAAATGTACTCAAAGAAACAATGCCTGAAAAACTCCCAAATTTGGCAAAAGATATTAACTGATTGATGCAAGAAGCTAAGTGAACCCCAAACAGTATGTTTTCATGTATTTGATGGCCATTTATATATCTTCTTTGGTGAAATGTCTATTCAAATCTCTTGCCCATTTTTTATTGTTATTATTGAGTTATAAAAGTTCTTTTTATATTCTAGATACAAGTCCCTTATCTGATAAATGATTTGCAAATACTTGATCTCATTCTATTGCTTTTGTTTATCTTTTCACTTTCTTATGGTTGCTGTTATTTTTATGTTTGTTTTTTTCCTTAATGAAGGCAATTTCCACTTTCTTTTTTTTTTTTTTTTTTTTTTTTTTGAGACAGAGTCTTGCTCTATCACCCAGGCGGGAGTGCAGTGGCATGATTTCGGCTCACCACAACTTCCAACTCCCAGGTTTAAGAAATTATCCTGCCTCAGCCTCCCAAGTAGCTGGGACTACATGCATGCACCACCATGCCTGGCTAATTTTTGCATTTTTTAGAGACAGGGTTTCACCATGTTGGCCAGGCTGGTCTCAAACTCTTGGCCCCAAGTGATCCACCTGCCTCGGCCTCTCAAAGTGCTAGGATTACAGGTGTAAGCCACCACACCCAGCCTTCACTTTCTTGATGGTGCCTTTTGGAGTACAAAAGTTTTCAATTTTGATGAAATCCAATTATCAATATTTTATCTGAAGCATGGGCAATATAGTGAGACCCTGTCTCCACACCAAAAAAAAAAAAAAAAAATTTAACAATTAACCAAGCGTGGTTGTATGCACCTGTAGTCCCAGCTATCCAGGAAGCTGAGGCAGGAGGATCACTTGAGCCCGGGAGTTGAGGCTGCAGTGAACTATGATTGCACCATGGCACTCCAGACTGGGTGACATACCAGGACCCTGTCTCCAAAAACAAAATACTATTTTATTGCTTGTGTAGATGTAAGAAAGTATCATATGTAAGAAATCATTGCCTAGCCCAACATCATGAATATCTACTTTTAGGCCTTTTTCTAATAGTTTTATAGTTTTGCACTTACATTTAGGTCTATGATCAATTTTAAGTTGGTTTTTTGTGTATGGTATGAGGTAATATAGGAATTACAAGCTATAAATCCCCTCTAAGCATAGCTTTAGCTACATGTCAAAAATTAATTCTGATATGTTCTGTTTCAATTTTCATTCAGCTTGAAATATTTTCTGGTTTTCCTTGTGATTTCTTCTTCCACCCATTGGTTGTTTAGAAGCATGCTGTTTAATTTTCACACACTTGTAATTTTCTCAAATTTCCTGTTGTTGTTGATTTCTAATTTAATTCTATTGTGATCAGAGAACATCTTTGTATTATTTCAGTCCTTTTAAAATTATTGAGACGTGTTTTATGGCCTAGCATATGGCCTATCCTGGAGAACGTTCCATGTACACTTGAGAAAAATGGTATATCCTGCTATTGTTTAGCAGAGTGTTTTATAGATGTCCGTTAGACTTAGTTAGTTGACAGTGTTACCCAAGTCTTCTGCTCAAGGACAGCCCTCACCTCTCAGCCCTCTTTGTGGACTGAAGATAATTGCTTCCCCAAGGTCACACTCTTTCTAGGAGCAACCCACCTTCCATGACTGATTAATGTGGGGGGCAAAAACCCAGCTCCCTTGCCCCAGTTGGGGATGGCTCTGAAGGGCCATCCCAGCTCCGGGTTAAATCTCAAAGTCCACTTCCTGGAGACCCAACCTGTGTACCCCTTATTCAGTCAAACTATACCCACTCTAGTTTTAAAATATATTCCAAATCAGACTCACCATGCCCCAATCATCTCTCACTGGTCACCACATCGAGAATGGCCTGGGCCAACAGTTGGGGGCAAGTTGGAAGCAAGGGTGCCAGGTAGGATGCTATCACAATATTCCTAATTAGAGATGGTAGGGGTGTGGTGATGAGCAGTTTAATTTGGTACTTATTTTTGAAACTACAGTTGCCATCTCTTATTGACCTCTCAGTCTTTTTTTTTTTTTTTTTTTTTTTTTTTTTGAGACAGAGTCTCACTCTGTCACCCAGGTTGGAGTGCAGTGGCACAATCTCAGCTCACTGCAACCTCTACCTCCCGGGTTCAAGCGATTCTCCTGTCTCAATCTCCCGAGTAGCTGGGACTACAGGCGTGCACCACTATGCCCGGCTAATTTTTGTATTTTTAGTAGAGATGGGGTTTCACCATATTGGTCAGGCTGGTCTCAAACTCCTGACCTCAGGTGATCCACCTGCCTTGGTCTCCCAAAGTGCTGGGATTACAGGTGTGAGCCACCACGCCCGGCCTGAGGCAGAGTCTTGCTCTGTCACCCACGCTGGAGTGCAATGGCTTAATTTCAGCTCAGTGCAACCTCCACCTCCCAGGTTCAAGTGGTTCTCCTGCCTCAGCCTCTGGAGTAGCTGAGACTACAGGCGTGTGCCACTATGCCTGGCTGATTTTTGCATTTTTGGTGGAGACACGGTTTCACCATGTTGGCTAGGCTAGTCTCGAACTCCTGACCTCAGATGATCCCACCTCCACCACCCAAAGTGCTGGGATTACAGGTGTGAGCCACCGCACCCGACCAACCTCCCAATCTAAAGTAGCCCCCAAGTTCTTCTCTCTCCCCTCACCCTGCCTTATATCATCTCATACTCCTTATCGCTATCTGATATTATATTTCATATTTACTTGGTATCTGTCTATTTTGTTCAAGACCATAAATTCAGGGCCTAAAACATTGCGGGGTATAAAGACTGTGTTCAATAAATACTGTGTAAATGAACTGATAAGTAAATAAGCAAATGACATGCATCAGTACTTACTGAATGCTGCACTGAATGTCAGCAAAGGCATAAGAGAATGTCTGGATCTGTAGTTTCTGATGTAATCGAAGCAGAAACTTGTTTCCCAGCCATGCCCACATTAGTTTTTTAAATGACAAAAAATAAACCCTACTAAGACAGATGGCGCCTCAGGGTAGAAAGAACATGGGTTTGGATGTGAATAACTCACATCTGAAACACACTTAGTAGCTATATGAACTTGTACAAGTGACTCAACTTCTCTGAGCTCCACATCTCACTGTGGGTGGAGGTAATGGTACCCTCCTCCTGGGGGTATTTTAAGTGAGACAGTGCACGCTGAGTTGAGGTCCTGCTCCACACACTGAGGCATGGTCAAGTCCAAAAACAAGTAAATGAAAAAGACAAAAATCCTTGACTTTGTGGAATTGGCAGTCAGTAAATAAGAAATATAAATTAAATATATGTTAGTTAGATGGTGAGAAATAATAAGGAGAAAAGCCAATGGGGGTGGGGAACATGAGAGAAGGCTTCCAGTTTTGAAATGGGGTAGCCAAGGAAGGCCTTGATTAGGTGCCTTTTGAGATGAGGGACAGAGCCACGAAGACAGCTGGGGAAGGAAGCAGTTCAGGCAGTGAGAAGAACAAGGCTCTAAGGTGTGAATGTGCCTGTTTCAAGAACAGCAGGAAGCTAATGGGGCTGGATGGTGAGAAGTAATCAAAGATGAGGTTAGAGAGGGAAGGGCCTTGGCTGGGGGGCAGTGGCTCATGCCTGTAATCCCAGCACTTTGGGAGGCCGAGGCAGGTAGGTTAGGAGATCGAGACCATCCTGGCTAACACGGTGAAACCCTATCTCTACTAAAAATACAAAAAAATAGCCCGGCGTGGTAGCACGCACCTGTAGTCCCAGCTACTCAGGAGGCTGAGGCAGGAGAATCGCTTGAACCGGGGAGGCGGAGGTTGCAGTGAGCCGAGATTGCACCACTGCACTCCAGCCTGGGCCACAGAGCAAGACTGCGTCTCACCAAAAAAAAAAGAGAGAGAGAGAAAGAGATTGAGAGGGAAAGGCCTTGTGCAGAGCCTTGCAGGCCCTGTAGGAAAGTTAGCTTTACTCTGAGTGAGTGGAGAAGCGATTGGAGACTTTTGAGCAGAGGAGTGAGGTGGCCTAACTTGTATTTCAACTGACTCACTTTGGCTGCTGTGTAGAGATATGGACAAGGAGAGCAAGGACAGCAGCAGGAAGACAAGTTAGGAGATGCAAGAGATGACATAGGCTTGGACTAGGATATTGGCAATAGGGATGAGAAGAGATGAGAAGTGCTCAGATTCTGGATATACATATTTTTTTTTTTTTTTTTGAGATGGAGTCTCGCTCTGTCGCCCAGGCTGGACTGCGGACTGCAGTGGCGCAATCTCGGCTCACTGCAAGCTCCGCTTCCCGGGTTCACGCCATTCTCCTGCCTCAGCCTCCCGAGTAGCTGGGACCACAGGCGCCCGCCACCGCGCCCGGCTAATTTTTTGTATTTTTAGTAGAGACGGGGTTTCACCTTGTTAGCCAGGATGGTCTCGATCTCCTGACCTCATGATCCACCCGCCTCAGCCTCCCAAAGTGCTGGGATTACAGGCGTGAGCCACCGCGCCCGGCCTGGATATACATATTTTGAAGGTAGAGTCCACAGGATTTAAGACAGTTTGGATGTGGAGTATGAGAAAAAGAGAGGAATCAGCAATATCTTCAAGGATTTGGGCCTAAACAATGGAAAGAATAGAACTGCAAAACTCAATTCTATCAGGAAGGAAGAGAAGGTTAAGGGAGAAGATCAGGTCAGTTCTGGACATGTTAAGTTTGTGGTACTTGTACTTGGAAGTACAAGTCTGGAGTTCCGGGAAGTGTATGATCTTGAGAGTCATCAGCACAAAGGTGGTCTTCATAGATGGTATCTGAATCTGGTAGGGAGCCAGGAGACTGGATGAGATCACCTAGGGAGACAGAAAACTAGAAGAGGCCCAGGGAATAACCATGGACACTACAATGGTAAGAGGTTGGCGAGATGAAGAGTAACCAACAGGGAGGCAGAGAGGGAGGGGCCTGGGGCAACGGGGGGCTCCATATCTCCCGAACCATATATTTACAAATAATCTCCAAGAGTGGATTACTCTTGCTTATTTCTTATTTTTTTTTTTTTCTCACTCTGGTCTCACCTTGTCACCCTGGCTGGATTGCAGTGGCATGATTATGGCTCGTTGTAGCCTCAACCTCCTGGGCTCAAGTGATCCTCCCACGTCAGCCTCCCAAGTAGCTGGGGCAACGGGTGTGCATCACCACGGCCTGCTAATTTTTGTATTTTTTCATAGGGATGGGGTTTCCCTATGTTGCCCAGGCTGATCTTGAACTCCTGGGATCAAGTGATTCTCCCACCTTGGCCTCCCAAAGTGCTGGGAGTACAGGCATGAGCCACCGCTGCACCTGGCACTCTTGCTTATCTCTATGGCTACAGTGGCCTATTGCCTTCTTTGTGTTTGGACACATTATCAGGGCCAACCTCGGAGTTCACCTTTTAAGGTCACAAGTCCCTATGACTGAAGTGTGAATGACTGACAGGTTTATCCTTCTCAGGGGGTATACAATGAAAGAAAATCCCTTTAATAAAATGAATCTCTATTTGATGAAATACTGTAGGAAAAAGGGTCATTTCCCAGAGGGAACTATCTGTATCCCTGGCATGCTGCAGTTCACTGTAGTGATGATGGTACCACCCTGGTCAGTATCAACCCTTGGGAAGCCATTGGGAAGGAGAAACAAGCTCTTGGGGGAGCATCAATACTGCTTTGGGCTGTAAGGTCTTAGAGGCCAGGAAAAGTATCTGGGACCCAAGCATAGCTCATAATGCCTGAGCAGGTGCACACTGCCTTACCTTAAGCAGGATAAAGCAAGAAGTGGGCAGGCAGCTTCCTGACACTGTCTTTAAACTCAGCTTCTGCCCACCACACTTCTGGTTCCCTTCCACCTAACCACCTCTCTGTCTCCGTTGCAATTTCTCCTTTTTCTCATGCTCCAGCCTAGTGCCCCAGCCTCCTTTTCCACAAATGGTGTTAGATTGTCAACATTGCAGAAATGGTGAGTTCAGTTCTTTCCACCAAGGTCTTCGCGGTTCCATGAGAAACCTGTTGTCTCTTCCTATTTTCCTTTCACTACTCACCAGCACCAAATCCCCAGTCAGCAAACCAGAGAGTACAAAAGCAGGGACTTTTACACTAGGGTTCCTCTTCCCCATACCCACAGTTGCCTCCTCAACTAAGGAAGGTGATGGGAAAATGACAATGACACCAATAGGACAATGGGACAAAAGCATGGACAGGAAACTCACAAAAGCATGGACAGGAAACACGAATAGCCATTAAACAGTTAAAAAGAATGTTGACACTTAACAACAAATGTGCAGTTTAAAGGAGCAATAAGAGACCATTTCATCTATCAAAGTGGCGAGGATTCTAATGTGGAGGGTTGGCGAGAGTAAGGACACAGGCAGACACTACTAACTGGAGTAGAAAGGCCTCACTGCTTTCTGGAGAATGGCTTGGCAACACATAGAGACCAAGAGCTTTAAAACAAGTCTATGTCTTCACCCTTTCACTCAGGGTTTTCACTTCTAGAATTTAGCCTAAGGCAATAATTAGCCATGCAAATATGTAAGTTCAAGGATATTTACCGAAGGTCTGGGCGCGGTGGCTCACACCTATAATCCTAGCACTTTGGGAGGCCGAAAGAGGTGGTCAGATTACCTGAGGTCAGGAGTTCGAGACCAGCCTGGATAACATGATGAAACCCCGTCTCTACTAAAAATACAAAAATCAGCCAGGCATGTGCCTGTAATCCCAGCTACTCAGGAGGCTGAGGCAGGAGTAGCTTGAACCCAGGAAGCAGAGGTTGCCGTGAACCGAGATCACACCACTGCACTCCATCCTGGACAACAGAGTGAGACTCCATCTCAAAAAAAAAAAAAAAAAGAAGAAGAAAAAGAAAAAAAAAGAATATTTACCACAGCTCAGTTTATTATATGTTTAAAAATTGAAGGCCAGGTGTGGTGGTACACACCTGTAATCCCAGAGCTTTGGGAGGCCGAGGAAGGAGGTTGCTGTGAGCCCAGGAATTCAAGGTTATAGTGAGCTATGTGCGTGCCACTGCACTCCAGCCTGAGTGACAGAGCAAGACCCTGTCTCTAAAAAAACAGAAAGCAAATTGAGACCCACCTAAACATGCTATAATAGGAAATTGGTTTAAATGAACTAGTAGAATACTGGGTGACCATTATAAATGATGCTGGCTCACGGGCTTCCAAATGTGATACACTGGTACTTGTGCCCAAAAATGCATAAACACCAGACATACTCAAATTTAGGAACAGTCTACAAAACAACTGTCCTGTATGCTTAAAAATGCCAGTATCGGCCAGGTGCGGTGGCTCACGCCTATAATCCCAGCACTTTGGGAGGCCAAGATGGGTGGATTGCCTAAGCTCAGGAATTTGAGACCAGCCTGGGCACCATGGTGAAACCCTGTCTCTACTAAAATACAAAAAGTCAGCCAGGCGTGGTGGTGGGCGCCTGTAATTCCAGCTACTCAGGAGGCTGAGGCACGAGAATTGCTTGAACCCAGGCGGTGGAGGTTGCAGTGAGCCAAGGTCGTGCCACTGCAATCCAGCCTGGACTGTCTCAAAAAAAAAAAAAAAAAAAGTCAATATAATGAAAGGCAAAGTACATTTAAGGTACTGTACTCATATTAAAGGAAACTAAAAAGACTCGACAGCTAAATGCAACGCAGGATGCCAAATGAGATCCTAGACCAAAGGAAAAAATTGTCATGAAGGACATTATGGGGCAATTGGCAGGACCTGAATTTGGACTGTCAATTAGATCATAGTATTACATCGGTCTAAGTTTCCTGATTTGGATAATTGTACTATATTATGTAAAAGAATGTTTTGTTCTTAGAAAATTTGCACTGATGGATTTAAGGGTAAAGGGTATCTTGTATGCAACTTACTCTCAAATGGTTCAGTAAAAAATACAAATGTGTATTTATAGAGAAATAATGATAAAGTAAATGTGGTCAAATGATATTAGTGGATGAATCTGAGTGAAGGGTATCCTGGAATTCTTTTTAGTATTTTTGCCCCTTTCCCATGAGATTAAAAGTATTTTAAAATAAAAAGCTAAAAAAAGGAAGAAAGTGGTGCTGGTGAAGTATATTCCCCGGTAGGGGAAGGCTCTCAGGTGCACCAGCAGCAGCCATGAGTGCCTCAACACCAGGGAGAGCACAGCTGCCACTGACACCTTCTGCCACCCTGGACTCTCAGTTCCCTGTGCTACTAAAGGAACTCAGTGTGTGGTTGACCCCAAAGTTGTCCTGGGTTGACTCAAGAAGGTAGGATGAGCATTCTGAGGCAAAGAATTCTCTTTTGTGATTTTATTGACTCCAATTTTGCATTCTGACTGGCATTCCCTGCATCCCAAGGACCTTGACAGCGGAGGGAGGCAGAGATGGAGGAAGTGAAAACTACCCAAATTCAGTGTTTGTTACAGACAATTCAGACTGCAAAATTTAGGGTAGACTATGTTCATTTATCACTGATAATGACAGTCTTAACATTCCCCTACAACAGGAAGACCAAGATTTCCCCAAAACCGGCCAGCATCTTGCCCATTCGCCAGAAGGAGAAAAATAAGTCCTGGCAAGAGCCAAGATAAGGCCCAGAAGCCCCTGGGTTCCTTTAGCCAAGGTGAGTGGTTTCAAATTATGACAAGTTGCAGGTTCTCTGAGAAGCATCTGTAATAACCTGGCAAATTAAGCATCCTCTCCTGGGAGGAGGAATACAGAACTCTGTAACCACCCAATACCTGTTTCCAGGTCCTGCCCCTCCTGGGGCACACGGCAGCCACCTTGCAATTCTCATCCCTAGAAAGGAGAGACCAGATCAACAAACAGCAGGGCTGGGACTGCCCAGGGGGTTCCGAGATTCCTTCTCCCCTCCTATCACCTGCCCTCCAGGCACACCGTCCTACTTCCCCCTACTTCCCCAGGGGTTGTCAGGGACAGAAGGCCCCTCCTTCATCCCCCCTAGTGTTCCTCCACTCTTCCTCCGCCCCCCATTACTAGGGTGTCCAGGACATTGTGTGACTCAGGAAACAGCTCAGACGTGAGGCTTGCAGCAGGCCGAGGAGGAAGAAGAGGGGCAGTGGGAGCAGAGGAGGTGGCTCCTGCCCCAGTGAGAGCTCTGAGGGTCCCTGCCTGAAGAGGGACAGGGACTGGGGCTTGGAGAAGGGGCTGTGGAATGCAGCCCCCTTCACTGCTGCTGCTGCTGCTGCTGCTGCTGCTATGTGTCTCAGTGGTCAGACCCAGAGGTGAGGCATGGCGTGGGTGAGGTGAGGGGACCCAGCTCCCTTAGGAGGATGTTCAGTGGGGTGGGGGAAGAGGGCCAAGCCCCAGGCCGTGTGAGGGATGCTGGATGGAGGAGATTCTCACTGCCCAAATAGAGACGGCCTCCAGGGAAAGACGGCTCTGCCCATGGAGCTGCTTTGGGCCTGGTGCCAGGGGTGGTGACTGCTGGGGGATGGGTGAGAGGGTGCCCACCTCCAGGAAGAACCTCGTCAGCACTGGCACTGGAGGACTCTTGCAGCCATAGGGAAGAGGGGAAGAGGGAACACACTGACCACCTGCTTGGGGAGGAGATGAGAGGGAAGCAGGAGATGGGGACATGAAAGGTCAGGCCTACTAAGCCCTTTCTTAGTCCAGCTGTCCCCACCCCCCGGATGGCTCAATGCTCGGCCTTTCCGGGAGGAAATCTCTTCGAAGTCTCAGCCATTCACCTCCCGGGAGCCACCTCCGCCCCTCTTCTGACCCCTGTTGTCTTGCTTCCGAGAGATGGAGTCCGAGGCTGGACTTGGGAGGCCAGAGAATAAACAGGAAAGGGGGGTAGGGATTAGTAACTGGGACGGAGGGCACTGGGGCTGGGGCTGGGTACCATGTGGAGAGTGGGGACAGATGTGAAGAAGAGGTGGTTTAGAGTACCTGTGGGAGCTGCTGTGGGCAGGTCTCTCAGGAGCACCTAGAAGAGGAAAGGTGGAGGCACAGCACCCAGGGCTTCCATTGCGCCTGCCTCTCCACCCTCAGGGCTGCTGTGTGGGAGTTTCCCAGAACCCTGTGCCAATGGAGGCACCTGCCTGAGCCTGTCTCTGGGACAAGGGACCTGCCAGTGAGTGTGCCTTGCAGGAGTGGGAGACTGGAGAGAAAGGGGGAGGGAGAGCAGGGGGGGAGAGGTGAGGAAGTGAGACCAAAGAAGAAAGAGAGGAAGTGAAGGAGATGAAGGGAAACAAATGAAGGCAGAGGAGGGAGTGGGCAAGAATAGGAAGAGGGGCCAGTGATGTGAGTTTTCCTCTCCTCCCCTGCCCAGGTGTGCCCCTGGCTTCCTGGGTGAGACGTGCCAGTTTCCTGACCCCTGCCAGAACGCCCAGCTCTGCCAAAATGGAGGCAGCTGCCAAGCCCTGCTTCCCGCTCCCCTAGGGCTCCCCAGCTCTCCCTCTCCATTGACACCCAGCTTCTTGTGCACTTGCCTCCCTGGCTTCACTGGCGAGAGATGCCAGGCCCAGCTTGAAGACCCTTGTCCTCCCTCCTTCTGTTCCAAAAGGGGCCGCTGCCACATCCAGGCCTCGGGCCGCCCACAGTGCTCCTGCATGCCTGGATGGACAGGTAAGCGCTGCTGGGGGCAGCCAGGAGGGGACAGGCAGGAGCAATGGGCTAGGCTGTGGGTGGGGAAGATGGAACTGGAGCCTGAGAAACTGCAAGCCCTTTGAAGACAGAAGCCATGAGAATCAACATGCCAATTCTTGGCAATCCACTTACCCACAACCAACATTCACCAGCATGGTTGTACTGATTGCTAAAATGTTAAAATATTTCCAAATTAAGGGTGCCATGAGCCCCCTTTGTGCACCATCCTGATGCCTGTCCTAGCCCCTTTAATCTCCCCATTGCCTAGCAGCTAGAGGGTCATTGCTCTGCATACCAGGGGTCCTCCAGACTTTTGCATTCTGAGCATCTGAATGGCTCCCATTCTGAGTGGAGGGAGCCATTATATCACCTGGGAAGACTGCAGTGGTGGGAGGGGCACCGGGAAGGGAAGGATGTGACCCCGAGAGTGGATTGGGGGCCGCCCCAGGAGGAGGGGTGTAACCCTGGGGCAAGCTTAGTGCTTCATTCTAGGGGCTCTGCACCAGCCCCTGGATCCAAATGCTAGCTCTGCCACTGATCAGCTACATGACCTCATATAAGATATTTTAGCTTTCTGGTGTTCAGTTGTCAGCTGACAAACAGGGAGAGTAATGGTCACACTTCATAAGGTTGCTGAGAGGACAGAAGGGGCCGATGCTCAGGAGATGCTTGCTCAGCTCAGCACCTGGCACCTCCACTGCTGCCGCCATTACCACTGGTGCACATGGACTGTGAAGTGAGTCTCCAGGTGCCTAAACCCACTTAAAGATTAGGAAATGAGGATCAGAAAGGCAAAGTGGCTCACCCAAGGGTATACAACCAGTTGTGGCACAGCATGGTGCCACCTGAGTCTCCTGCCTGCAGACGTGGGGTGCTTTTCACCTCCCCCAAGATCACCCACGTCCCAGATTTTCTCAGGCAAGGCCAATTTGCAATACTCTCATCATCACTTTAGAAGATATGGTCACTCCAGATAAACCCTCCCAAGCCATGACATCGCTCAGAGCAGGGGTGATGGAACAGAGCAAAGAAAGTATGGTAATAAAGGGAAGGAAATATGAAAATGAGACCCAGAGATAATCCAGAGTGAGCACTGGGTAACCTCAGATGGGCTAGAATTCGTACAATGCTAGAAACGGCTCCCTCTGTCCTCTGCCTCAGGTGAGCAGTGCCAGCTTCGGGACTTCTGTTCAGCCAACCCATGTGTTAATGGAGGGGTGTGTCTGGCCACATACCCCCAGATCCAGTGCCACTGCCCACCGGGCTTCGAGGGCCATGCCTGTGAACGTGATGTCAACGAGTGCTTCCAGGACCCAGGACCCTGCCCCAAAGGCACCTCCTGCCATAACACCCTGGGCTCCTTCCAGTGCCTCTGCCCTGTGGGGCAGGAGGGTCCACGTTGTGAGCTGCGGGCAGGACCCTGCCCTCCTAGGGGCTGTTCGAATGGGGGCACCTGCCAGCTGATGCCAGAGAAAGACTCCACCTTTCACCTCTGCCTCTGTCCCCCAGGTGTGTCCTCACAGGGGCTCTCCGGCCGCCCCTCTCTCTGGGCAGGGCAGGATGTCTCCGTTGGAGCCTCCTCCCACAGCTGATCCATGACCCTGTCAGGTTTCATAGGCCCAGACTGTGAGGTGAATCCAGACAACTGTGTCAGCCACCAGTGTCAGAATGGGGGCACTTGCCAGGATGGGCTGGACACCTACACCTGCCTCTGCCCAGAAACCTGGACAGGTGAGTTGTTTAAGCCACATCCATGACACCCATGGCCCAGAGAGTTGGCCCCTGGCCTCCCCTACTCATAGGGCTCCCAGCCTTAGCCCTCGTCCCCTCCCCAACCCCCTGCAGGCTGGGACTGCTCCGAAGATGTGGATGAGTGTGAGACCCAGGGTCCCCCTCACTGCAGAAACGGGGGCACCTGCCAGAACTCTGCTGGTAGCTTTCACTGCGTGTGTGTGAGTGGCTGGGGCGGCACAAGCTGTGAGGAGAACCTGGATGACTGTATTGCTGCCACCTGTGCCCCGGGATCCACCTGCATTGACCGGGTGGGCTCTTTCTCCTGCCTCTGCCCACCTGGACGCACAGGTATGGGGGTAGAGGGTATCAGGAGGTGGGAGGTAGAGAAGGAGGGTGAGAGAAGCACCAGGAGGACTGCTAGGAGCTTCAAGTGGCCTTTGAGAGCCTCACCCCCTCTTACCCCTCCAGGACTCCTGTGCCACTTGGAAGACATGTGTCTGAGCCAGCCGTGCCATGGGGATGCCCAATGCAGCACCAACCCCCTCACAGGCTCCACACTCTGCCTGTGTCAGCCTGGCTATTCGGGGCCCACCTGCCACCAGGACCTGGACGAGTGTCTGATGGGTGAGGCCACTCCCACTTCAGAGCCTCTCTGAGCCTCAGACAGGCCTCTGCACTGAAGACAGAAAAGGGCAGATTGCTTTTCCAATTAAAAAACCAAACATCTTTTTCCTTGAATTTGCCCAGATTTGGCATCTCTTGCCTACATGACCCTCTCTCCAATGTTCAGCCCCTCAGTCCCCATGAAATTGGTCCCTTATTTCCTTTCCATCTTAAAGACACAAGCCCCTTCCCCAATTTGGTCTCGTCTGCCACACGCAGGCCCCCACACCTTCCCTGACAGTCTCACCTCCTTGCCCTTCCCGCCCTGACCCCTGTGGACTCCCAGCTCTTCTCTCCTCCCAGCCCAGCAAGGCCCAAGTCCCTGTGAACATGGCGGTTCCTGCCTCAACACTCCTGGCTCCTTCAACTGCCTCTGTCCACCTGGCTACACAGGCTCCCGTTGTGAGGCTGATCACAATGAGTGCCTCTCCCAGCCCTGCCACCCAGGAAGCACCTGTCTGGACCTACTTGCCACCTTCCACTGCCTCTGCCCGCCAGGTATCAGCTGGATGGGGCCTTGGGTGGGGAAAACAGGGAACTAGTCCTGAACCCACTAGGAATGCCCCCTCCAGAGTAAGGACAGCTTCAGGCCAATTGGCGTAAGTTACCACAGATGCTTCTCTCTCTACCCCCAGACGAAAACTCAGGGACACCCAAGACCCCTAGGAGAGGGGTTACCACAGATGGTAGTGAGGTTATGCATTCCTCAACTTGGGGGGAAGCTGCCATTCATTTCATAGTCATCATAGAGGCTGCACAACCTGGTCCACTGTACACAGCAGCCCAGCAAGAGAGGGTAGAAGAGCAGTTCATAAACTTTCTGTGCTGCAGCCTTTGCTCAGGTCAACCCAGAATGCTCCCTCTGATTATAGAAACTCTCCCATGTAGAGATTCAAGGTAATCCCTTAAAATCCCAAAAGCCCTGTGATACAACAGGAAAATTTGGTACAACAAGAAAAAAATTGCTGCAAGACAGCACCCACCTCCAGGCTAGCTTTAAGGGGGAAAAGTCGCCCCAGGGAGACAGCAACAGAGCCAACATCAAGGAGTTGAATGAAATCAGAAAAATAATCGCCAACTTTATGCCAGGTACTGTCTGAGCATCTTACAGGCATTGTCTCATCTACTTATTACAATAACCCTATGAGGTCAGCACTGCCCATTTTATAACTGAAGAAACTGAGGCACAGAGAGTTTAAGTGACTTGTCCAAGGTCACCCAGCTAGCAAGTGGCAGAGCTGAGATTCAAACCAAGGGCTTCAACAATTATAACCACTACCCCATATTGACTTTCTAAACTGAGCGGCACCCAAAGATACTGGCTCAGGTCACCCAACAGACAATCATAGAGAAATAAGAGAAAACGGTTCGGTAACCCAAGGGACAACATTGTAGATATCAAGGAGCTTCAGAAGCAGACTCCTCAGGCAAGAAAAGAAAGGAAGCCAAGGTCCAGAGGTTGATCCCACCTCAATTCAGGATGAAACAGTGGAGACCAGGATGAACCCAAAGCAACGGGACAAATATAGGAGCAACAAGCTTCCCAGATGCACTTCAAATTCCTCCACTTTGGGATCTCTGTTCTCCCTAGCATGGAGGCCCGCCCAGGGAGAACAAGAAGTGGGACTCATTCTCCAAGCCAATTTGTTCCTATTTGTACCTTGAGGTCCTCCGGGCTGATCAGCCTGCCCTGGTGAGCCCCGCCCTCTGTATACACAGGAATGGCCACCAGAAAGCCTTGTAGTCCTCCCGCAGGTCCCCAGCAAGCACCCTGTTCCCTGGCCTTTCACACCTCAAGGAGCAGGGCCACACACTGCGAAGCAGCAGGGCCTCAGGGTTCATCTTATTCAACCCCATGCAGACAGCACCTCGGGGGAGGACCGCCTGAGTGGGGCAAGTCAGGAGCAGGGCCGATTCTAGAACACAGGTCTCCCAGGCAGACCTGGCTGAGCCACAGCCCTCATGGTCCCCATGTCCCCAGGCTTAGAAGGGCAGCTCTGTGAGGTGGAGACCAACGAGTGTGCCTCAGCTCCCTGCCTGAACCACGCGGATTGCCATGACCTGCTCAACGGCTTCCAGTGCATCTGCCTGCCTGGTGAGTACAGATGCCTCTCTGGCCACCCTCAGACCCCAGGCCTCTGAACCTGCAGAGTTCAGGCTCAGCAATCACCCAAGGCCACTTGAAGCTCTCTCTAGCCAAGCCAAGGAGTCCTCCAAATCTGTCTTTGCTCCCCAAAATCTCTACTCTTACATCCCCAAATCTTCCCTTGCTTACTTGCCCATTCTCATCTCTGTCCTACCAAATCACCCAAAGATCCCTCCTTTCCAGTCCTCCTGCACAGCCTCTGTGTATGCAT
Organism: Homo sapiens; assembly: GCF_000001405.40. NCBI lineage: Eukaryota > Metazoa > Chordata > Mammalia > Primates > Hominidae > Homo > Homo sapiens. The sequence continues at coordinate 3,522,740 of NT_167246.2, read as the reverse complement.
GTTGAGGTCCCAGGCTGGTCTTGGCACTCTCATCATAAACCCAGCAAAAGCTGCCCCAAGCCTTTCTTCTCCAGCCTCACCGGACACTCCTCTGTCCCCTGCTATTATAATAACTACACTTATTCACCACTTACTCCAGGCTAGCCATTTGGCTGAGTACTTTTCAGGCGTTATGTCATTTAATCTTTTTAACAGTACCATGAGGTAGGTTCCATTATTATTCCCCTTTTACACAGAACAGGAAACTGGGGCCTAGAGGGTTGACCAGCTTGCCCAAAGTCACACAGCTGGCAGGTGGCTGAGCTTCACCTTTTCTGCATCATCTCCTGTCACCCCACGCTCACCTGCCCCAGGTGTCTTCTCTGGGAAGCTCTGCAAGTTCACCTTTCCTGGCAAGGGAAGGCGCCATGCTGTGCCTCCCTCGATGACCTTGGCCTCCTCTCCCCACCCACTTCCGCCCCACCAGGATTCTCCGGCACCCGATGTGAGGAGGATATCGATGAGTGCAGAAGCTCTCCCTGTGCCAATGGTGGGCAGTGCCAGGACCAGCCTGGAGCCTTCCACTGCAAGTGTCTCCCAGGTAAACTGGGGCACACACTGTGGGGGACAGCGGGAGCAGGAGGCAGACATCCGTGCAGGTCCCTGACCTTCCTGCTGTGCCACAGGCTTTGAAGGGCCACGCTGTCAAACAGAGGTGGATGAGTGCCTGAGTGACCCATGTCCCGTTGGAGCCAGCTGCCTTGATCTTCCAGGAGCCTTCTTTTGCCTCTGCCCCTCTGGTTTCACAGGTTCACAGGGGAGGCATTGGAAAGAACTGGCAGAATATTTTATTCCATTTGGGTTGGGGCAGAGTTCATTGGTGGGTGTTTGATGGTTGGGATGTGAGAATAGAATGAGAATGGTATCCTTTAAAGTTATTTAGTGTAAAACCTGCATAATTGTACAACCATGGGGACAAGGGCAGGGGTTACCGTAGGGCCCACATGGGCCCAGTGTAAATGGTGTGATTGCGGCTTGGGAGCAGAGGACGGGGCTCAAAGAAAAGGCATTCACTTGCTTATTTAGCAAGCACTTACCAACGCCTACTATGCCAGATACGGAGGCAAATCTGAGTAAGACAGTTGCCATCTTCATGTGACTTTAAGTCTAATACAGAGAGACCAGCAAGTCTCCTGTTGATCATAGCCCACAGAGGTGCTCTGAGAGAAAAACGTGCAGGATATTACAAGAGCACAGAGGACCAGCCAACCCAGACTAAAAATGGAGGAGGTGATGGCTGAGATGAGTCTTGAAAGATAAGCAGAGGCTGGGCGTGGTGGCTCACGCCTATAGTCCCAGCACTTCGGGAAGCCGAGGCGGGTGGATCACCTGAGATTAGGAGTTCGAGATCAGCCTGGCCAACATGGTGAAACCTCGTCTCTATTAAAAATACAAAAATTACACTTTGGGAGGCCGAGGCGGGTGGATCATGAGGTCAGGAGATCAACACTATCCTGGCTAACACGGTGAAACCCCATCTCAACTAAAAATACAAAAAAATAACTGGGCGTGGTGGCGGGCGCCTATAGTCCCAGCTACTCCAGAGGCTGAGGCAGGAGAATGGCGTGAACCCGGGAGGCGGAGCTTGCAGTGAGCTGAGATCACGCCACTGCACTCCAGCCTGGGTGGCAGAGTAAGACTCCACCTCAAAAAATACAAAAATACAAAAATTAGCCAGGCGTGGTGGCGGGCGCCTGCAATCCCAGCTATTGGGGAGGCTGAGGCAAGAGAATCGCTTGAACCTGGGAAGCAGTGGTTGCAGTGAGCCGAGATCACTCCACTGCACTCCAGCCTGGGTGACAGAGCAAGATTCCATCTCAAAAAAAAAAGAAGGAAGGAAGGAAGGAAAGAAGGAAGGAAGGAAGGAGAGAAGGGAAGGAAAGGAGGAAATGAGGAAAGAGAGAAAGATAGAAAGATGGATGGTCAGGAGTCTGTCTAAATAGAGTGCCAGATAGTGTGTTTTAGCTGGAGATAACTGCATGTGCAAAGACACAGATGGAAGAAAAGCCCACCCCATTTAAGGAACTGTAAGAAAGTCAGAGTTAAGGGTACAGCAAGGCAAAGATGAGAAACACAGCTGTTGTACAAATGTCATGTCCTGCAGGACTCTGCATATCATTCTGAGAAAGTTAAACAATATCTTAAAGGCAATAGGGACCCATTGAAGGACAGGTTCATGGGTTCATAGGGAGTGAGTAAGGCAAGCATAAGAAGTGGCTTTGGCCCAATGAAGGATGTGGCTTTGGCCCAATGAAGGATGTGGAGGAGCTGTTTTCTTTTTGACCCATCTTCCCACCCCAGGCCAGCTCTGTGAGGTTCCCCTGTGTGCTCCCAACCTGTGCCAGCCCAAGCAGATATGTAAGGACCAGAAAGACAAGGCCAACTGCCTCTGTCCTGATGGAAGCCCTGGCTGTGCCCCACCTGAGGACAACTGCACCTGCCACCACGGGCACTGCCAGAGGTAACATCTTCCAGACCCTCCCCATCTGCCCCCTCCTTTGGGCTCCCTTCGCTAGGACAGGAGAAGACAGCCAGTGAGATGTAGGTCTGTGAGAAATGACCAATGGGGAAAAGGAAGGAGATGGCAAAGTTCTTAGGGCAAGGCAGTGGGAGGGCTCAACTGGTAAGTGTTATCCAAGGAGAAGAGAGTCCACAAAAACTGGTGGAAACAGAGGACCAGGGGGTCAGAGCAGAAAGAAGAGCATTAAATCCCAGGGCGAATTAATCATTCATTAGAAAAATATCTGCTGAGGCCAGGCGCAGTGCTGATTACGGTCTCATGCCGGTAATCCCAGCACTTTGGGAGGCCGAGGTGGGCGGATCACCTGAGATCAGCAGTTCAACATCAGCCTGGCCAACATGGTGAAACCCTGTAGCTACTAAAAATGCAAAAATTAGCTGGGCATGGTGGCGCACCTGTAATCCCAGCTACTTGGGAGGCTGAAGCGGAAGGATCACTTGAACCCAAGAGGCGGAGGTTGCAGTCAGCCAAGATCATGCCACTGCACTCCAGCCTGGGTGACAGAGCAAGACTCCGTCTCAAAAAAAAAAAAATCTGCTGAGCACCTACTTTGTGTGGCTACTGTTCCAGGCCCTGGGGGAAACACAAAGCAAAAGAGATAAAGCAACTGCTCTCGTAGAGCTTTCATTCTAAAGAAAGACAGAAAATAAGTAAGTTACAGAAAGAATATATATGTGTGTGTATATATATATATATATATATATATATATATATATATATATATATATATCTCCAACTAGATATATAGATGCATATATCTAGTTGGAGAAAATGAGCAGGTGTTGGGGAGGATGGGGGCGGTGCTGAGAGCAAAGTCACTGAAGAAAGAGGCCAGAATCTCAGGGCCAAAAGAAGAGGAAGTCATAGGGGTCCAGGCAGCAGGGAGGGGAACATAAGCAGTAGGAGAAGAGAAAAACCCTCCCCTTTCTCTTTACAACCAGATCCTCATGTGTGTGTGACGTGGGTTGGACGGGGCCAGAGTGTGAGGCAGAGCTAGGGGGCTGCATCTCTGCACCCTGTGCCCATGGGGGGACCTGCTACCCCCAGCCCTCTGGCTACAACTGCACCTGCCCTACAGGCTACACAGGTGAGACCCTCCCTAAACCATATACACCCTGTGCTGGTCACCCCCTATGTCAAGGGTAAGGCAGGCGACCACGGGCCCTGAGTCTCAGTCACCACTAAGGAGAACTGGACTGCAGGGGACACGGGTGATGTGTGGGAGGTGGTGAGAACGGAGGTTGATGGGAAAGAATAATAGGGTTGGGGATGAGGAAGGGAAGGAAGAGGAAAGAGAAGGAGAGCGGAGGGAGGGAAGGAGGACACCCTTTCTCAGCCCCCACCTGTTTCCTTCAGGACCCACCTGTAGTGAGGAGATGACAGCTTGTCACTCAGGGCCATGTCTCAATGGCGGCTCCTGCAACCCTAGCCCTGGAGGCTACTACTGCACCTGCCCTCCAAGCCACACAGGGCCCCAGTGCCAAACCAGCACTGACTACTGTGTGTCTGGTGAGTGCCCACTGTGTCATGGGGCTGGGGTCCACAGGAGAATGGAAGAACTAAGGAGGGTATGCTTGTGTCATATTTTTTAAAATTTAATTGAACAGACCAGCCTGGGAAACATAATGAAACTCCATCTCTAAATTAGCTGGGCACACAGTGGCTAAGGCCTGTAGTCTCAAATACTTGGGAGGCTAAGGTGGGAGGATGACTTGAGCCCAGAAGGTTAAGACTGCAGTGAGCTCTGATGGCACCACTGCCTGGGTAACAGAGCAAGACCCTATCTAAAAATAATAAAATATCATATAAATAAAAATTAATTGGATGGCAGTGAGCTGTCGTTTTGATGGGGGTGGGGGGTGTATGTCCTATGTACAGTGTGACTGAGGTCACAGGCCAGGTTACAGGCAAGGAACCCAAACCCTCACAGCCTCCTCTCTCCAGCCCCGTGCTTCAATGGGGGTACCTGTGTGAACAGGCCTGGCACCTTCTCCTGCCTCTGTGCCATGGGCTTCCAGGGCCCGCGCTGTGAGGGAAAGCTCCGCCCCAGCTGTGCAGACAGGTGAGCAGGGCCCAAAGACCCCTAGAAGGGAGAAAACCCCTCAGCCTTCCCACCCCTCCTCTCATCTCCCCCTGGGTTCCAGGCTGCCTCCCACCCCACACCTCGTTCCGCCTTCCCTCCTGGCTTGCCACCTCCCTGTGGTTGCCTCCCGACAATATCACACACTACCTTCCCCTTGTTGCCCGAACTTCTTCCTATCATGCCCTGTCTCTGTCTTGTTCAGCCCCTGTAGGAATAGGGCAACCTGCCAGGACAGCCCTCAGGGTCCCCGCTGCCTCTGCCCCACTGGCTACACCGGAGGCAGCTGCCAGGTGAGGGCCATTGAAGTCAGGCGTGCTGAGGAGGGAAGTGGCTGGGAGGGAAACCAGGGAGGGTCACCTGGTCCCAGGCCATTCAGGAGAAGGTTTTTGAAGTAAGGGATTTCGAGGAGCTGGAGTGGGCAGAGGACCATCTCTGGGCTGAGAATCTGATGCTATGTCCTGCCTCACGCTCCCTCCCACCCCTCAGACTCTGATGGACTTATGTGCCCAGAAGCCCTGCCCACGCAATTCCCACTGCCTCCAGACTGGGCCCTCCTTCCACTGCTTGTGCCTCCAGGGATGGACCGGGCCTCTCTGCAACCTTCCACTGTCCTCCTGCCAGAAGGCTGCACTGAGCCAAGGTAACCAACACCGGCACTGACTGGAGAGCAAATGAAGAAAATATGGGTGTTCTCACCTGCCCCGTTCCTGTGGGCTTCCACACAGCTTTTGGCCAAAACAACCACCTGAGAATCAAAACCACACAGACAAATCAGTTCTTGATTGCAGAGGTGTTGAATTGTGCAATCAGAGAAGCCTAACACAATTCCTGTTACCTCATTTAACGCAATTCAAGCAACACCAACCAGCCCATTCCACAGGATTCCAGTTTAACCCAACCATGAGGGACATGACTCAACGTGGAGCAACTCAACTCTGTCCTGATCATCATAACCCAGGCAGAGTGGACCACACTTAATCCAGCTACACTCAACGCATTTCACCCCACCCCACTCACTTCGATGTCACGCCACCCTCTTTGTAAAAGAACACTAAAATAAGGTTTGATATGAGAAGAGCTCGGGAAAGAGATTATGATGGAGTTAAGGGATAGCTGATGGGAATCACAGGGAGAGAACATTAAAGGAATGCAGAACTCAGGGGACAGACTTAAGCCACTTGTCCTCACTTGAGGCATACCTTGAATTATTTCTTGCTCAAGCCTTGCTTTAAGCCAAGAAAACAGTTGCTTTAACATTATGATAAGCTTTAGGGGTATGTCTCCAATATTCTGGCAGAAAGGGTGAGGAGAGAGGTAAAACTCGATGGTCTAATTTCTTCAGTGCCAGGAGTTATTAACTCCTTGGGCCCAGACCAGTCTCCACCCAGGAATGTTAGTGGTCCCCAAGGTAAAGGCCTCTACACCCAGAGATTGGGCCCTGAATACACCCTTCCTCCTCCTCACATACCTTATTTATTTATTTATTTATTTATTTATTTATTTATTTATTTATTTATTTTTGAGATGGAGTCCCAGTCTGTCACCCAGGGTGGAGTGCAGTGGCACGATCTCGGCTCACTGCAACCTTCACCTCCTAGGTTCAAGTGATTCTCCTGCCTCAGCTTCCCAAGTAGCTGGGATTCGTGTGCCACCATGCCCAGCTAATTTTTTTTTTTTTTGTATTTTTAGTAGAGATGGGGTTTCATTATGTTGGCCAGACTGGTCTCGAACTCCTAACCTCAGTGATCCACCCGTCTCAGCCTCCCAAAGTGCTGGAATTACAGGTGTGAGCCACCACGCCCGGCCACATCCCCATTTACCGTTTCTGTTTGTTTGTTTGTTTGTTTGTTTGTTTGAGATGGAGTCTTGCCCTATAGCCCAGGCTGGAGTGCAATGGCACGATTTTGGCTCACTACAACCTGCGCTGCCCAGGTTCAAGTGATTCTCCTGCCTCAGCCTCCCAAGTAGCTGGGATTACAGGTGCCTGCCACAACGCCCGACCAATTTTTTGTATTTTTAGTAGAGACGGGGTTTCCCCATGTTTGCCAGGCTGGTCTCACACTCCTAACCTGGTGATCCACCTGCCTCGGCCTCCCAAAGTGCTGGGATTACAGGCGTAAGCCATGGCGCCCGGCCCCCCACTTATCTTTGTATATCCCTGTTTGTCTCTCTCCCCAGGCATAGACGTCTCTTCCCTTTGCCACAATGGAGGCCTCTGTGTCGACAGCGGCCCCTCCTATTTCTGCCACTGCCCCCCTGGATTCCAAGGCAGCCTGTGCCAGGATCACGTGAACCCATGTGAGTCCAGGCCTTGCCAGAACGGGGCCACCTGCATGGCCCAGCCCAGTGGGTATCTCTGCCAGGTGAGAGGGTCTGCAGGAGAAGGGGGAGGAAAGACAAGGGTGGGCTGGATGGGAGAGACAGTAGTGACTGAGGGAAGACCCAATGTATCCATTTCACCTCCTTTTATTTTTTTTAACCCCACACACCCAACTAACCACAAAGTCATGCCACTTTATCTCCTGAAGTTTTCTCAAGTCTGTGCTTTCACCTTCACCCTTTGTCCCACTGCCTGAGTCCTGACCTTTGTTGCGTTCCAGATAGATACTTGCATCAGCCTCCTAACTACAGTCTCTGCCTCCACACTTGTCCTTCTATAGGTTCAGCCTTTACCCCGTGGCCAGGGTACTCTACTGAAAATGTCCAGTTGACCTGTCTCTCCCCTGCTGAACCTTCGGAGGCTGCCCGCCTCATTCTGAATAAAGTCCAAGGCCTGCATGACCCAGCCCTGCCTGCCTCTCAGGCCTCAGCTCTCCCCATCCCACCCTTCTACTCTCTGCTCCAGCAACATGAAACTGCTGCTGACTTTGCCACGTACCCCATACTGATTCTTGCCTCTCAGCCTTTATCCCTGCTATTGACACTACCTGGAATGGCCTTCCCAACCCCTCTTCCACAGGCTGGTGTTCAGGAGGCATCTTCTTCAGGAAGATGTCCCTAACTTCTCCCCAGGCTGGATTAGGGCCTCTTCTTTGTGGTCCAGGTCACTAAGCCAGGAGAGGCAAAGCTGGCATTCAAGTCTAAGCAGCCTGATTCATATGCTCAGAACCACAACTTTTTTGTGTGTGTGGTTGCCATTTTATTTTCTTTTGTTATTGACAAACGGTAGTCATACGTATCTATGGGGTACATGTGAGTTTTTTGGTTTCTTTTTTTTTTTCTCTCTCGTTTTTGGAGACAGAGTCGCTCTATCCCCCAGGCTGAAGGGCAGTGGCATAATCTTGGCTCACTGAAACCCCCGCCTCCCAGGTTCAAGCAGTTCTCATGTCTCAGCCTCCCGAGTAGCTGGGATTACAGGAACGCGCCACCACGCCTGGCTAATTTTTGTATTTTTAGTAGAGATGGGGTTTCACCATGTTGGGCAGGCTGGTCTCAGAACTCCTGACCTAAAGTGATCCACCCGCTCAGCCTGCCAAAGTGATAAGATTACAGGTATGAGCCACCGCACCTGGACACATGTGATATTTTGATACATGCATACAATGTATCATGATCAAATCAGGGTAATTGGGATATCTATCATCTCAAACATCATTTCTTTGTGTTGAGAACATTTCAAATCTTCTCTTCTAGTTATTTTGAAATACAAATTGTTAACTATCACCATCCTTCTCTGCTATCTAACACTAGAACTTATTCCTTCTATATGACCATAATTTTGTATCCATTAACCAACCTCTCTTCATCTCCCCCTCCCTGCCACCCTTTCTAACCTCTGGTAACCATCATTCTACCCTACTTCCATGAGACTAACTTTTTTAGCTCCCACATATGAGTGAGGAGCAATATTACACATGCAATAGGAGGCTGATGCAAGTATCTACCTGGAATGCAAGAAAGGTCAGGACTAACTAAGGCAGTGGCACAAAGGTGAAGGTGAGAGACATGCAATATTTGTCTTTCCGTGCCTGGCTTATTTCACTTAACATAATGTCCTTCAGTTTCATCCATGTTGCTGAAAATGATAGGATTTCATTCTTTTTCTGGCTGAATAATATTCCATTGTGTCTATATGACACAGTTTCTTTTTTCCATTCATTTGTTGATGGCACTTCAGTTAATTCCATATGTTAGCTATTGTGAACAGTGCTGCAATAAATATGGGGATGCAGATATCTCTTCAAGATACTGATTTCCTTTGGATATGTAATGAACAGTAGATTGATCACATGGTAGATCTATTTTTAATTTTTGAGAAACTTCCATACTTTTCTCCATACTGGCTGTGTTAGTTTACATTCCCACCAACAGTGTATGAGGGTTCCCCTTTCTCTGCATCCTTGCCAGCATCTGCTATTTTTTGCATTTTTTTTCCTTTTCTGAGACAGAGTCTTGCTGTGTTGCCCAGGCTGGATCACAGTGACTTGATCTCAGCTCACTGCAACCTCTGCCTCCCAGATTCAAGCGATTCTTGTACTTCAGCCTCCCAAGTAACTGGGATCACAGGCGTGGACCACCATGCTTGGCTAATTTTTTGTATTTTTAGTAGAGATGGGGTTTCACCATGTTGGCCAGGATGGTCTCGAACTCCTGACCTCAAATGATCTTCCCGCCTCAACCTCTGAAAGTGCTGGGATTACAGGCATGGGCCACCACACTTGGCCCTTGTGTTTTCAATAATAGCCACTTTAACTGGTGTGAGATGATATCTCATTGTGGTTTTGATTTACATTTCCCTGATTTGCATCCATATACCTGTTGGCCATTTGTATGTCTTCTTTTGAGAAATGTCTGTTCAGATAATTTGCTCATTTTTTAAACCACATTATTTGTCGGTGGTGGTAGTGGTGGTGTTTGCTGTTGAGTTCCTTATACGTTCTGATTATTAATCCCTTGTCAGACAGTTTGCAAATATTTTCTTCTATTCTGTAGGTTGCCTCTTCACTCCATTAATTGTTTCCTTTGCTGCACAGACACTTTTTAGCTTGATGTAATCACATTTGTCTGTTGTTGCCTTTGTTGCCTGGCTGTTGAGGTCTTACCCAAAAAACTTTTGCCCAGACCAATGTCTTGAAGCATTTCCCAAATGATTTTTTTTTTTTTTTTTTTTGAGAAGGAGTCTTGCACCGTCGCCTGGGCTGGAGTGCAGTGGCGCAAATTTGACTCACTGCAACCTTTGCCTCCTGGGTTCAAGCGATTCTCCTGCCTTAGCCTCCCAAATAGCTGGAATTTACAGGTGCCCACCACCACGCCCAGCTATTTTTTTGTATTTTTAGTAGAGACGGGGTTTCACCATGTTGGCCAGGCTGGTCTCAAACTCCTGACCTTGTGTTTGAGGATTACAGGTGTGACCCACCGTGCCCGGCTGAATTTTTTTTTTAGTGGCTTCAAGTTTCCAGCTGTACATGTAAGGCTTTAATCTATTTTGTATATGATGACAGATAGAGATTTAGTTTCTTTTTTTCTTTTTTTTTGGGGGGGGGGATAGAGTCTTGCTCTGTTGCCCTGTTGCCCAGTCTGGAGTGCAGTGGTATGATCTCAGCTCACTGCAACCTCCACCTCCCAAGTTCAACTGATTCTCCTGCCTCAGCCTCCTGAGTAGCTGGAACTACAGGTGCACACCACTACGCCCGGCTAATTTTTGTAATTTTAGTAGAGATGGGGTTTCACCATATTGGTCAGGCTGGTTTCAAACTCCTGACCTCAGGTGATCCACCCACCTCCGCCTCCCAAAGTGCTGGGATTACAGGCGTGAGCCACCCCGCCCGGCCTAGGTTTAGTTTCTTCTGCATATGGATATCCAGTTTTCCCAGCACAATTTATTGAAGAGAGTGTCCTTTCCCCAGTGTGTGTACTTGGTGCCTTTGTTGAAAGTAAGTTGGCTGGCCGGGAGTGGTGGCTCATGCCTGTAATCCCAGCATTTTGGGAGACCGAGGTGGGCAGATCACAAGGTCAGGAGTTCGAGACCAGCCTGACCAACATAGTGAAACCCCCGTCTCTACTAAAAATACAAAAATTAGCCAGGCATGGTGGTGCGCACCTGTAATCCCAGCTACTCAGGAGGCTGAGGCAGGAGAATCGCTTGAACCCAGGAGGTGGAGGTTGCAGTGAGCCAGATCGTGCCATTGCACTCCGGCCTGGCAACAGAGCAAGACTCCATCTCAAAAAAAAAAAAAGGAAAGAAAAGAAAAAAGAAAGTAAGTTGGCTGTTAAATGTTTGGACTTGTTTTTCTGGGCTCTCTATTACATTCCATTGGTCTATGTGTCTGTTTTTTATGCCAGCACCATGCTGTTTTGGTTACTATAGCTTTATAGTATATTTTTAAGTTAGGTAGTGTGGTACCTCTAGCTTTGTTCTTTTTGCTCAGGACTGCTTTGGCTATTTGGGTCTTTTACAGTTCAGATAAATTTTAGGGTTGTTTTTTCTATTTCTGTAAAGAATATTATTGGTATTTTCATAGGGGTTGCATGACTCTGTAGATCACTTTGGTAAGCACAGACATTTTAGCAGTATTCATTCTTCCAATCCATGAACACAGGATATCTTTCCATTTTTTTGTGTCCTCTTCAATTTATTTCATCAATGTTTTATAGCTGTCATTGCAGTACTCTTTCACTTCTTTGGTTAAATTTATTCATTTGTTTTTATTTTTTGTAACTATTATAAATGGGATTGCTTTCTTGATTTCTTTTTCTGATTGTTTGCTGTTAGCGTATAGAAATGCTACTACTTTTTCTACATTGATTTTGTATCCTACAGCTTTACTGAATTTGTTTATAACCAGTGTTTTCTTTAGGTTTTTCTAAATATAGGATTATGTCATCTGTGAACATGGATAATTTGAGTTCTTCTTTTGCAATTTGGATGCCCTTTATTTCTTTCTCCTGCCTAATTGCTCTGGCCAGGACTTCCAGTATTACCTTGAATAAAAATAGTGAAAGTGAGCATCCTTGTCTTGTTCCAGATCTTAGAGGAAAGGCTTTCAACTTTTCCCCATTCAATATGATGTTAGCTGTGGGTTTGTCATATATGGCTTTTATTATTTTGAGATATAGAACCACAGCTTTTTTTTTTTGAGACAGAGTCTTGCTCTGTCACTCAGGCTGGAATGTAGTGGTGCAATCTCAGCTCACTGCAACCTCTACCTCCCGGGCTCAAGCAATTCACCTGCCTCAGCCTCCCCAGTAGCTGGGATTACAGGTGCCTGCCACCACACCTAGCTAATTTTGTGTATGTGTGTATTTTTAGTAGAGATGGGGTTTCACCATGTTGGCCAGGCTGGTCTCAAAATCCTGACCTCAAGTGATCCACCCGCCTTGACCTCCCAAACTGCTGGGATTACAGGCGTGAGCCACCGTGCCCGGCCAGAACCACAACTTTTGATAGAAGGCTCAAGACAGATACCCTAACCTACCCTCTTTTTTCACTTTTTTATTTTATTTTTTAACCTTTTATTATGAACATTTTCAAACATAAACAAAAGCAGTATACTGATCAGTAGTAAACCTCTGGGCACCCATTACTCAGCTTTACTTATTCTTTTTTTTTTTTTTTTTTTTTTTTTTTGAGACAGCATCTCACTCTGTTGCCCCGGCTAGAGTACAGTGGCGCGATCTCGGTTCACTGCAACCTCCGCCTCCCGGGTTCAAGCGATTCTCCTGCCTCAGCCTCCTGAGTAGCTGGGACTACAGGGACATGCCACCATGCCCGGCTAATTTTTGTATTTATAGTAGAGATGGAGTTTCACCATATTGGCCAGGCTGGTCTCGAACTCCTGACCTCGTGATCTGCCCACCTCAGCCTACCAAAGTGCTGGGATTACAGGCGTGAGCCACCGCACCCGGCTATTTACTTCTTCTTTTATGAAGCTCCCTCCTCCAAAACACCCCCATCACCTGTTCCTTCCAGCTCTCTGACCACTCCTTGGATTCTCTGTGAATTCCCTTTTCTCTCTTTGAAGCCTGCCTTCCTGGTACTGTACTCTTGCACACTCTCTTTCCTCTTGCAAGAAGCCAGCACGTGGTACAGATCTTGCCAATGACCCTTCTCTCACTAGCTGAGTGGCATGAAGAAGCAGAAAATGGTTAAGAGCATTGGTTTGGAGTCACAGACCTTCATTGATTCCCAGCTCTGCCACCTATAGCTATTTGACTTGCACAAGTCACTAACCTTTCAGAGACTCAGCTTCCTTACGTGCAAAGTAAAAATCGAATGAGATAACCCAAATAAAATGTCATTAGGGGGATTTTTAGGTTATGTATATAAATCATGCAATAAATGCTAGTCATTTCTTTCCTCTGGTTGACTGAGAGCTTCCAGGAAATAGGAATGGGTTCTAACTTTCTTTGTATTCCTAGTGCCTAAAACGGTGCCTGACACAAAGTAGGCACTCAATAGATGCTTATGAATTAATAAAGTATGAGAGAGCCTGGTAGGTATTTAGCAGGGGAGGAAGGTTTTACCAAAAATGGTGCTGTGTTTGGTGGCAGTGTGTCATAGAGATTGTTTGGGACTGGGGAAGTTTGAGTTGTGTGTCGCCAACAATTGTGTCTCATGGGGAGTTGAGATAGAAGGATTGTGACACATGGCCATGATGGATGGTGAGTTGAGTGATGCTGTTGAGCTGGAAGGTGGGGGACTGGACAGACTATCTTGAGCTGGGTCCCTTGTAGTGCTGGGTTGGGCTCATCCACTGGTTCCCTGTCTAATCCTCTTTGTCTGCAGTGTGCCCCAGGCTACGATGGACAGAACTGCTCAAAGGAACTCGATGCTTGTCAGTCCCAACCCTGTCACAACCATGGAACCTGTACTCCCAAACCTGGAGGCTTCCACTGTGCCTGCCCTCCAGGCTTTGTGGGGCTACGCTGTGAGGGAGACGTGGACGAGTGTCTGGACCAGCCCTGCCACCCCACAGGCACTGCAGCCTGCCACTCTCTGGCCAATGCCTTCTACTGCCAGTGTCTGCCTGGACACACAGGTGAGGCCCCAAGACAAGGGGCACAAGTGTGTCTGGAGCACAGCCAAGCAGACCATGGAGAGCCAGATAGTCTCCACCCATGCGGCAGCCGTCACCTGGTCCATCCCCTGCCTCCACGCCCACCCCCGCCCAGAAAAGATGCCCCAGGATCCCTTCACCTGCACATCTAGCACTGGGCCAACATCCAGGAATGAGCTAGGATGGAGGCAGTGACTGATGCAGTGTGTGACATCTAATCTCCCCCATAATTACAGGCCAGTGGTGTGAGGTGGAGATAGACCCCTGCCACAGCCAACCCTGCTTTCATGGAGGGACCTGTGAGGCCACAGCAGGATCACCCCTGGGTTTCATCTGCCACTGCCCCAAGGCAAGTGACCACAAATCTGCCTTCTCTGTTGCCCCCTATGCTGACAAGGCAAGAATACCTCAGTTGGAATCCCAGAAGGGACTGTGGGTGAGCACTGATGTGGAAATTATTGGAAAAAGCCATGCCAAGCTCACAGTGGGAAGTGTCTCTCAGAAGCAGTCAAAGGCAAGGCAGGATCAGTTGATAGCATGAATGGAATTTTCAAAAATCACAGGCGTTGCCTAAGGGAAGGTCAGGAGCTCCCCAAGCTCAAGCTGCGTGGTGGGTGGCCTCAGATAGGTTATTTTAACTCTGTGTGTGTTTGTATATGTATTTATGGACCTCAGATGCATGGAATTAGACTAATCTTAAGCTTTGGTTCCTGATACACTGACATTGGTTTATGCCTGGTCTTCTTTTATTTTATTATTCTAACAATGTAACACCCATGAACCTAACCCAAGAATTTCAATATTAATAATAACTTACATCTACTTAAGTCCTCCTCCTGTATCCTGTTCCCTCTCCAGAGGAAGAGGAAGACATATGATCCTATTTCTAAGGAGTAAGATAATAATATAACAGCCGGCCGGGCACAGTGGCTCACGCCTGTAATCCCAGCACTTTGGGAGGCCGAGGCAGGCGGATCACCTGAGGTCGGGCATTCGAGACCAGCCTGACAAACATGGAGAAACCCTGTCTCTACTAAAAATACAAATTAGCTGGGCGTGGTGGTGCATGGCTGTAATCCCAGCTATTGGGAAGGCTGAGGCAGGAGAATTGCTTGAACCCGGGAGGCAGAGGTTGCAATGAGCTGAGATTGCACCATTGCACTCCAGCCTGGACAACAAGAGCGAAACTCTGTCTCAAAAATAATAATAATAATAATATAATAGCATTCTATTAACTGTTTAGTCTTCTAGGACTTGCACTGTAATGCCACAGTCCATCAGGTTGTTGCACACAGCTGTGCTTCATCCATTTTCAACAGAATGTAATATGTCATTGTGTGAAATTACCACAGGACATGGTTTCAACATCCACAAAATGATTAACTTGATGCTCTCTGAGGCGCCTTTTAGATATGAGAATCTAGGACCCTCTGCACCGTCTTAACCCAAGAGTTTGCTTGATGGAGAGCGGGAAGAATAATGCAAGTTGCATCTCCAATATCTCCCCTCCCCTCCACAGGGTTTTGAAGGCCCCACCTGCAGCCACAGGGCCCCTTCCTGCGGCTTCCATCACTGCCACCACGGAGGCCTGTGTCTGCCCTCCCCTAAGCCAGGCTTCCCACCACGCTGTGCCTGCCTCAGTGGCTATGGGGGTCCTGACTGCCTGACCCCACCAGCTCCTAAAGGCTGTGGCCCTCCCTCCCCATGCCTATACAATGGCAGCTGCTCAGAGACCACGGGCTTGGGGGGCCCAGGCTTTCGATGCTCCTGCCCTCACAGCTCTCCAGGGCCCCGGTGTCAGAAACCCGGAGCCAAGGGGTGTGAGGGCAGAAGTGGAGATGGGGCCTGCGATGCTGGCTGCAGTGGCCCGGGAGGAAACTGGGATGGAGGGGACTGCTCTCTGGGAGTCCCAGACCCCTGGAAGGGCTGCCCCTCCCACTCTCGGTGCTGGCTTCTCTTCCGGGACGGGCAGTGCCACCCACAGTGTGACTCTGAAGAGTGTCTGTTTGATGGCTACGACTGTGAGACCCCTCCAGCCTGCACGTGAGCCTGAAATCCACTGGAGCCAGGGAAGGAGAGGGGTGGGTGAGAGGAGGAGGAAGGACGTAGATGGCTCTGAGTTACAGTGTGGCCACAGCCTTGGGCTCCAGGGAGTTTCCACCCTAATAACCATCACTAAACAGGGGTCGAAGACTCTGGACTCCAACCTAGGGTAATGGGGTGGCATCAGTATTTAATGTGGGGCGTGGCCTTTGGGCTCCTCTCTAAGAGTTGAAGGAACTCAGGTCTCAAGCCTCCTTCCCTAAGCCTTGCTGCCATGGAGTATTTCCCCTAGCAGTCAGCACCTCACAGAGGGAAAAGGGCCTGGGACTCTCCTTTAGAAACAGAGGAGAGCTTGGGAGGGTACAGAGAGGGGACAGTCTAGGGAGACAGGGGTGTTAGCAGACATTGGGGTGTCTGGACTACCATCCAGGACTTGACTAAGCTCATTGCTCCACAGCTGCCCCCACTTAGCAACCAAAGCCCTAGAGGGCACAAAATATGGGGAATTCTTTCTAGGGTGAAGAAAAGAGTCAGGTTTTAGGGAGGTCCTGAGTCCCCCTCTCCTTACCCCACAGTCCAGCCTATGACCAGTACTGCCATGATCACTTCCACAACGGGCACTGTGAGAAAGGCTGCAACACTGCAGAGTGTGGCTGGGATGGAGGTGACTGCAGGCCTGAAGATGGGGACCCAGAGTGGGGGCCCTCCCTGGCCCTGCTGGTGGTACTGAGCCCCCCAGCCCTAGACCAGCAGCTGTTTGCCCTGGCCCGGGTGCTGTCCCTGACTCTGAGGGTAGGACTCTGGGTAAGGAAGGATCGTGATGGCAGGGACATGGTGTACCCCTATCCTGGGGCCCGGGCTGAAGAAAAGCTAGGAGGAACTCGGGACCCCACCTATCAGGAGAGAGCAGCCCCTCAAACACAGCCCCTGGGCAAGGAGACCGACTCCCTCAGTGCTGGGTAAGAAGCTAGGTGGAGGGAAGGGCCAGACACCAGTTTTTTTAAGAGGGCAGAGGGAGGAAAGGGAGCCAGGGACCAATACAGAGGTCTCTGAGGTGCCTCCTCTACAGGTTTGTGGTGGTCATGGGTGTGGATTTGTCCCGCTGTGGCCCTGACCACCCGGCATCCCGCTGTCCCTGGGACCCTGGGCTTCTACTCCGCTTCCTTGCTGCGATGGCTGCAGTGGGAGCCCTGGAGCCCCTGCTGCCTGGACCACTGCTGGCTGTCCACCCTCATGCAGGGACCGGTAGGTGACCCCTTGCCACTTTCTCTGACCTCTGTTCCCAGGCCAGCTCTCATGCTAGCAACAGGCAATGGAGGCTGAATCAAACAGGACAGCTGAGACTGAAAATGTTCTTTGTGGGGACTTACTTTCCCTAACCCCGCTTTCTCTAACTGAATCTCCCACTGGCCCATTTGTTCTACAGTCTCCTTCCTTATTTCCCTAAGCACATTATCCTAACCTCTGTCATAGCCCTCCAACAAAGGGATGGTTTATCTTCTCTACCAGACTGAGAATACCTAATAGTCTTTGTATCAGACAATTCATAGTACATGAAAGAATAATAGGCTGGGCGCAGTGGCTCATGCCTATAATCCCAGCACGTTGGGAGACCAAGGCAGGTGGATCACGAGGTCAGGAGATTGAGACCATCCTGGCTAATGCGGTGAAACCCTGTCTCTACTAAAAATAAAAAAATTAGCCGGCTGTGGTGGCGGGTGCTTGTAGTCTCAGCTACTCAGGAGGCTGAGGCAGGAGAATGGCGTGAACCTGGGAGGTGGAGCTTGCAGTGAGCCGAGATCGCGCCACTGCACTCCAGCCTGGGCGACAGAGGGAGACTCCATCTCAAAAAAAAAAAAAGAAAAATAACTGCTATATCGTACTTTGTGCCTTACTCTAAGCATTTTACATTGTTACCTCATTTAATCCTCCCCCACAACCCCATGAGGCACGTACTGCTGGTTGAGTATCCCTTATCTGAAATGCTTGGGAACAAAAGTGTTTCAGATTTCGGATTTATTTTGGAATATTTGCATTATACTTACTGGTTCAGCATCCCTAATACAACATCCAAATGCTACAATGAGCATTTCCTTTGAGCGTTATGTTGGTACTCTAAAAGTTTCAGACTTTGGAACATTTCAGATTTGGGATTGGGGTTATGGATACTCAGCCTTTTTTTGTGTGTTTGTTTTCTGAGACAGTCTTACTCTGTCAGCCACACTGGAGTACAGTGACGCCATCTCAGCTCACTGCAACCTCTGCCTCCTGGGTTTAAGCAATTCTCTTGCTTCAGACTACTGAGTAGCTGGAATTACAATGGCATGCCACCATGCCCTGATAATTTTTTTTGTTTTTGTTTTGTTTTGTTTTGTTTGAGACAGAGTCTTGCCTTGTCGCCCAGGCCGGAGTGCAGTGGCGCGATCTCGGCTCACTGCAAGCTCCACCTCCCAAGTTCACGCCATTCTCCTGCCTCAGCCTCCCAAGTAGCTGGGACTACAGGTGCCCGCCACCACACCTGGCTAATTTTTTGTATTTTTAGTAGAGACAGGGTTTCACCATGTTAGCCAGGATGGTCTCGATCTCCTGACCTCATGATCCACCTGCCTCAGCCTCCCAAAGTGCTGAGATTATAGGAGTAAGCCACTACACCCAGCCACTAATTTTTATATTTTTAGTAGAGAGGGGGTTTTGCCATGTTGGCCAGGCTGGTCTCGAACTCCTGGCCTCATATGATCCACCTGCCTCAGCTTCCCAAAGTGCTGGGATTACAGGCATGAGCCACTGTGCCCAACCTCAATCTATATTATCATCCCCATTTTGCAGATAAGGAAACCGAGGCAAAGACAGGCTACTAAACTTGTCCAAAGGTCTCCCAATAGTAATCAGTCTCACCAGGAGTGGCCTCTCTTTGTGACTCTGTCTCTCCCACCAGCACCCCCTGCCAACCAGCTTCCCTGGCCTGTGCTGTGCTCCCCAGTGGCCGGGGTGATTCTCCTGGCCCTAGGGGCTCTTCTCGTCCTCCAGCTCATCCGGCGTCGACGCCGAGAGCATGGAGCTCTCTGGCTGCCCCCTGGTTTCACTCGACGGCCTCGGACTCAGTCAGCTCCCCACCGACGCCGGCCCCCACTAGGCGAGGACAGCATTGGTCTCAAGTGAGAATGAGGAGAAACCCAGGCTCAGGAAGGGGAGTCTCTCCTATGGCGATATTTACAATCAGAAAAGATAAGAAATACTATTGCAGAAGTCAAAGATAGGGGAAGGAGAGAGGGGTGGGAAGCCTGCTGGAAATTTTGGAGACCCTGATGGTCATAATTCCGTGTAACCTCTACCCACCCATTCCTTTCCAGGGCACTGAAGCCAAAGGCAGAAGTTGATGAGGATGGAGTTGTGATGTGCTCAGGCCCTGAGGAGGGAGAGGAGGTGGGCCAGGTGAAAGGGCTGGGGCAAGAATGGTCTGGAGGTGATGGAAGGGATGAAAGGGCAAATCAACCTTCACTGATCCTTGCTGTTACCCAAAGGCTGAAGAAACAGGCCCACCCTCCACGTGCCAGCTCTGGTCTCTGAGTGGTGGCTGTGGGGCGCTCCCTCAGGCAGCCATGCTAACTCCTCCCCAGGAATCTGAGATGGAAGCCCCTGACCTGGACACCCGTGGACCTGGTATGTGAGTCAACCCAGACCAAGAAAAAAAAAAAAAGTCCTTTGACCCTATTAGAATCAGAGAGTCCTTTAATATCAGAACTAGAGGAAATAATTTTAGACTGAGTGCCTTAGAACAATGATTCTCAAAGTGTGGTCCTCAGACAGCAAAATCAGCATCACCTGGGAATTTGTCAGAAATGCAAATTATTGGGCTCCACTACAGAGCTACTGACTCAGGAATTTAAAATGTTAGGCAATCTGTTTTAACAAGCCCTTCAGGTGAATCTGATCCAGACTCGTTTGAGAAAACCACTGCTAGGCCGGGCGTGGTGGCTCACGCCTGTAATCCCAGCACTTTGGGAGGCCAAGGCGGGTGGATCACAAGGTCAGGAGATCGAGACCATCCTGGCTAACACAGTGAAACCCCGTCTCTACTAAAAATACAAAAAATTAGCCGGGCGTGGTGGCGGGAGCCTGTAGTCCCAGCTGCTCTGGAGGCTAAGGCAGGAGAATGGCGTGAACCTGGGAGGAGGAGCTTGCAGTGAGCCGAGATCGCGCCACTGCACTCCAGCCTGGGTGACAGGGCGAGACTCCGTCTCAGAAAAAAAAAAAAAAAAAAGAGAAAACCACTGCCCTGGAATGTCAGAGAATTAAGCTGCAGGTTCCTTTTACAGAGGAAGAAACTGAAGTCAGAGAAAAGCAGAAAAGTCACTTGGCTAAAGCCACACAGAGCCAGAACTTAGCTTCCCAACACCTCAGGTTTTGATTCTCTCTGAGCTTACATGTTGTCCCTTCCCCCTTGTTGTGTCCTTTAGATTGACCCATTACTCTGTCTTACCAACAGATGGGGTGACACCCCTGATGTCAGCAGTTTGCTGTGGGGAAGTACAGTCCGGGACCTTCCAAGGGGCATGGTTGGGATGTCCTGAGCCCTGGGAACCTCTGCTGGATGGAGGGGCCTGTCCCCAGGCTCACACCGTGGGCACTGGGGAGACCCCCCTGCACCTGGCTGCCCGATTCTCCCGGCCAACCGCTGCCCGCCGCCTCCTTGAGGCTGGAGCCAACCCCAACCAGCCAGACCGGGCAGGGCGCACACCCCTTCATGCTGCTGTGGCTGCTGATGCTCGGGAGGTCTGCCAGGTTAGCACACACTGAGGTCCCTACAGGGAATGGGGCGAGCTTACAAGTAAAGCTGGACAGAAGCATCCCCTAGAGTTTGACAAGGAGGAAATTGGTGTGATTGGGAACCTGACAGGGAAACTGCGGAGGATGGCTGAATATGGATTGCGAGTGGGGTTAATAGTGTAAGGAACTCGAGTTGGCAGTCCAAGGTACCCCAGGGGTCACTGGCCCTCTGTCTCCCCAGCTTCTGCTCCGTAGCAGACAAACTGCAGTGGACGCTCGCACAGAGGACGGGACCACACCCTTGATGCTGGCTGCCAGGCTGGCGGTGGAAGACCTGGTTGAAGAACTGATTGCAGCCCAAGCAGACGTGGGGGCCAGAGATAAATGGGGTATGTAGAGGAAGGGGTGATGTATGCTATAGAGAAGTTGAGCAGATGGGGTGGGAGATAGCGTGCAAAATATAGGTGCAGCAGAGGGGCATTCCCTCTCATCCTGCTGTTACGGCGGTCAATCTGAGATGCGGTGGAAGTACGGGCCGCGTGAGTTTCCCCCCCCAACTCCCACCCTCAACACCACACTGGCCCTCCGCTCCAGCTTACTGGGGAACTGGCATGGAACACAGTGTCTGTGGAAAGGGGGGGGAATCTCGTGGGGGGAGACTGTCTCCCGGTCTCACCGACCCCAGAACAATGCCCCATTGTCCCTCCCGCGCACTGGTGACGTCACCAGGGCAACACTTCCTGCAGGCCGGTGGTCTCCTGGGCAACGCTTCCCGCCTTTGAGGGACCAGCCGGCCCGAATAGCCCTTCCCCCAAGGCCAGAACCCGTGGGAAACCGGAACCCAGGCGTCTGGCCCCCAACTGGGGTAACAACCTCCCACGTCGTCCCCTAGGGAAAACTGCGCTGCACTGGGCTGCTGCCGTGAACAACGCCCGAGCCGCCCGCTCGCTTCTCCAGGCCGGAGCCGATAAAGATGCCCAGGACAACAGGGTTAGATGGGACAGAGGGCTTCCCACAAAACAGTCAGGCGCACGAGAGATGGAAAGTGCGGTAACCCGCAAAGCCTGAAGGGATAGGGGCCAGTGGTCGCGCAAGTGAAGGCAGAAAGGCCCAGTCCTGTGGGCGTGGCCTTCCCTGATATCGGCCCTGGCTCTTCTGTACAGGAGCAGACGCCGCTATTCCTGGCGGCGCGGGAAGGAGCGGTGGAAGTAGCCCAGCTACTGCTGGGGCTGGGGGCAGCCCGAGAGCTGCGGGACCAGGCTGGGCTAGCGCCGGCGGACGTCGCTCACCAACGTAACCACTGGGATCTGCTGACGCTGCTGGAAGGGGCTGGGCCACCAGAGGCCCGTCACAAAGCCACGCCGGGCCGCGAGGCTGGGCCCTTCCCGCGCGCACGGACGGTGTCAGTAAGCGTGCCCCCGCATGGGGGCGGGGCTCTGCCGCGCTGCCGGACGCTGTCAGCCGGAGCAGGCCCTCGTGGGGGCGGAGCTTGTCTGCAGGCTCGGACTTGGTCCGTAGACTTGGCTGCGCGGGGGGGCGGGGCCTATTCTCATTGCCGGAGCCTCTCGGGAGTAGGAGCAGGAGGAGGCCCGACCCCTCGCGGCCGTAGGTTTTCTGCAGGCATGCGCGGGCCTCGGCCCAACCCTGCGATAATGCGAGGAAGATACGGAGTGGCTGCCGGGCGCGGAGGCAGGGTCTCAACGGATGACTGGCCCTGTGATTGGGTGGCCCTGGGAGCTTGCGGTTCTGCCTCCAACATTCCGATCCCGCCTCCTTGCCTTACTCCGTCCCCGGAGCGGGGATCACCTCAACTTGACTGTGGTCCCCCAGCCCTCCAAGAAATGCCCATAAACCAAGGAGGAGAGGGTAAAAAATAGAAGAATACATGGTAGGGAGGAATTCCAAAAATGATTACCCATTAAAAGGCAGGCTGGAAGGCCTTCCTGGTTTTAAGATGGATCCCCCAAAATGAAGGGTTGTGAGTTTAGTTTCTCTCCTAAAATGAATGTATGCCCACCAGAGCAGACATCTTCCACGTGGAGAAGCTGCAGCTCTGGAAAGAGGGTTTAAGATGCTAGGATGAGGCAGGCCCAGTCCTCCTCCAGAAAATAAGACAGGCCACAGGAGGGCAGAGTGGAGTGGAAATACCCCTAAGTTGGAACCAAGAATTGCAGGCATATGGGATGTAAGATGTTCTTTCCTATATATGGTTTCCAAAGGGTGCCCCTATGATCCATTGTCCCCACTGCCCACAAATGGCTGACAAATATTTATTGGGCACCTACTATGTGCCAGGCACTGTGTAGGTGCTGAAAAGTGGCCAAGGGCCACCCCCGCTGATGACTCCTTGCATTCCCTCCCCTCACAACAAAGAACTCCACTGTGGGGATGAAGCGCTTCTTCTAGCCACTGCTATCGCTATTTAAGAACCCTAAATCTGTCACCCATAATAAAGCTGATTTGAAGTGTTACCTTTTTTTGGAGGAATTGGGGAGAAGAATGGGAAAAAAGATGGGAGTGACTGCATAATGTCAGCATTTTGTGCTTTTGGCTCAGCATTTGGATTGGATGGAGGATGTAAGTATAGTTTAAAAGCAAGAATAAGTATATTTAGGGGCCCTATGATAATTTAGGGTATTATCTGAAAGCAAGAATCTAGTAGCCAAGGGAGAAACCGCACACACTAGGTCAGGGGTCCCCAACCCTTGGGCCACAGACTGGTACTGGTCCATGGCCTCTTAGGAACTGGGCCACACAGCAGGAGGTGAGCAAGCATTACTGCCCAAGCTCCACCTCCTGTCAGATCAGCATAAGCATTAAATTCTCATAGGAACTCGAACCCTATTGTGAACTGTGCATGCAAGGGATCTAAGTTTCTCGCTTCTTACGGGAATCTAATGCCTAATGATCTGGGGTGGAACAGTTTCATCCTGAAACCAGCCCTCCGTCGCCACCGACCATGGAATAATTGTCTTCCACGAAACTCTTCCCTGGTGCCAAAAAGGTAGGAGACCACTGCACTAGATGATGCACACACTTTGTCCCTCATCCTAGGGCTTTTACTTATGGCCACTTAGGAGATTCCTAAGGCCACAAGTCAAGTAGATGGAGAGAGTATCTTGAAACTTTGTCCACCTTGCAGCAATATGTTGCTAGGTTTGAAACATGGAGTCATGAGGCATTTTGAAAGCCAATAATATCTACAGTTTATTAAGTATTCACTATGCATCAAGTGCTTTATTACATTATTAATACATCAACCCTATGAAGTAGGTGCTATTAAAACCCTATTTCACTCAGAAATTGAGGCACAGAGATCTGCCCAAGATTGCAAGGAATAAGCGGCAGGACCAGATCTCTTCATCACATTTCACATTCCAAATCACTCAGCTATAAACTCCCTAACATGACAGGTTGCCATTTAGAGGTACCAAATGGTTGTCTGCCCTGCTCCTTCCTTGATGCCAACCAGCCTGATTAGCATTGATCAAAGACCAAGCCAGAGAGGTAGTCCTCTCCCTTTTCAATTTCATTTCATTTCTTTCTTTTTCTGAAACAGGGTATTGCTCTGTTGCCCAGCCTGGAGTGCAGTGGCACAAATGGCTCACTGCAGCCACAACCTCCTGGGCTCAAGCAATCTTCCTACCTCAGCCTCTCATTTTTCCATATCTATATCTCTTATGCCCAAAATAAACTTTCCCCTGCCCCTTGTCTGCACTAAACTGTAAGTTTCCAAAATGAACCCTTCCCGTACTCTATTTGGTACACATCTTGTCTCCTGAATAGAGTGTATTTTTTATTTTATTTTATTTTGGAGACGGAGTCTCGCTCTGTCACCTAGGCTGGAGCGCAGTGGCACAATCTCAGTTCACCGCAACCTCCGCCTCCCGGGTTCAAGCAATTCTCCTGCCTCAACCTCCTGAGTAGCTGGGATTACAGGCGCATGTGGCCACGCCCAGCTAATTTTTTGTATTTTAGTAAAGATGGGGTTTCACCATGTTCCCCAGGCTGGTCTCCAACTCCTGAGCTCAGGCAATCCACCCGCCTCAGCCTCCCAAAGTGCTAGGATTACAGGTGTGAGCCACCGCAGCCGGCCATCTCCTGAATAGATTTTAAATACCTAGAGGTCAGGGATGATTATTCAATACATATATATTGAATACTTACTATGTGTTGGACCCGGTGCTAGGGTTTTATGTATATATTTGAGAGCTCCACATCCCTGGATCTGAATCCTCCACTTCCCACTGGAACCATGCCCCTCCCAGTCCCGGTAAGTAAGAGGGAAGATCGGGAGGGCCAAATCCTACACCAGGGTCTATCTTAGGGAGGGAAGGGACCTGGCTGGGGGGAGGGGGATTCTGAGGAGTGAAACCACTTCCTGTGTAGCTAGTTCCTGTGTTGACAGAAAGAGCAGAAGAGGAGGTGGGGTGGAGGGAGCAGAGCCAGGGATTAGGGGACTACTGAGGCTCTGGAGATGAGACCGCCAGGAGTCCTTCCCCACCATGAGCCCCCTCCACTCCTGCAGCTGGAGGAGTTTTTCCCAGTCTCAGTGCTGCCCTGGGGCGAGAGAGACTGAACAAGCTGTTTGGGTGGGAAGAGAATGGAGGAAGTTGACAGGGATGGGCGGGGCCCGTGGGGGGGCTGACCAGGAACCCAGCTTCCTGCTCAGTACCCAGGCATCCAGCCCCCAGCTCACCCCCACCCCTTCCAGCCCCCACTCCCCTCAGGAACCCAAGGTTCCAGCCCTCCTCCCAAATCCCAGCCACCCCTCCCCCACCAGTTTCTCCCCTCTAGGGGATGGAGGCTGAGAGACCCCAGGAAGAAGAGGATGGTGAGCAGGTGAGCTGGGCACGGGGTTGGGGAGGCTGACACTGGGAAAGAAGGGAGGTGAGAGGACCTGGGGCAGAAATGTAGGGACACAGGGGCCTTGAAAGGCTTGGGCAAACTGAGGCAGGAACAGAGACACACAGAGAGGAAACGGGCCACTGGCCTAGCCCCCTGTCCACTCCTCCCGCTTCAACCACCACTGCTTGACTAGAATGGACATATTTTGGCATCAGGGCCCCCCTCAGGATGAGGAAGGCTGGCCCCCTCCAAACTCCACCACTCGGCCTTGGCGATCTGCTCCTCCATCCCCTCCTCCTCCAGGGACCCGCCACACAGGTACCCCTACCCACCCAGGGAGAGCCCCGACCCTAGTGCCCACATCCTGACCCCATTACCAAGGCCCACTCCATTGTGGGCCCTCTCCCCACCTCCTCCAGACTCCCCTTGGGATTCCCCATTGCACCCCCTCTCCTCTGATCCAAAGTCCCTAATCACGTCACCCTGTCCACACTCCCCCACGGCTCCTGTCTGCCAACCTCTCTGGGTCTCTGAGCCCTCCACACCCCTCTCCCCAGCCCTGGGACCCCGCTCGGCCTCCCTGCTCTCCCTGCAGACTGAACTCCTTCTGGACCTGGTGGCTGAAGCCCAGTCCCGCCGCCTGGAGGAGCAGAGGGCCACCTTCTACACCCCCCAAAACCCCTCAAGCCTAGCCCCTGCCCCACTCCGTCCTCTCGAGGACAGAGAACAGCTTTACAGCACTATCCTCAGTCACCAGGTAAGACATCCCCCCAGGAGGCAAACCCAGGCCTCCTGGTCTCTTGGCCCCTGTTCTCTTTGGGGCTCTACTCCTGTTTCTCCCTAGGCACCCCATCGCCTTCACAGGTTTCCTATATGCCTCCCCATACCAACCCTTGATCCTCTCAAGAACCTCCTCCTCTCAGACCCTCACCAAAGCTCTCCCTCTCCCTCCACTCCTCCAGTGCCAGCGGATGGAAGCCCAGCGGTCAGAGCCTCCCCTCCCTCCAGGGGGGCAAGAGCTCCTGGAGTTGCTGCTGAGAGTTCAGGGTGGGGGTCGAATGGAGGAGCAAAGGTCCCGGCCCCCCACACACACCTGCTGAGACTTGAGCCCCAACCAGCCCTTCCTTGCCACTGGTCTCAAAGCTGGGCAGCCCATTGCATGCCCTCAACTCTTGCTTGGCAGGGGTACCAGAGACTGAAAGACACGGCACAAATCTCAATATTCATCTCCCACATCACCTTCCCTGGGAACTGGACAGGGTGAAAGTCCTCAAACTCTGGGAACAGGCGAGATGGAACAGGGATTTAACTCCCCGCCCACAGGTCCATGGGAGCTTGAGGCAGTAAGGGGGATCCCAGGCACCCATCTCAAGGAGTGGCTGGGAGTCTTTTCCCTAACTTGTGGGGACACCACCAGTTGTCAAGCTACTAGGCAGTAGGGTCTGAGGGCTCAGGCCTCCACCTGAGAGGTTATAACCTGAGAGACAGCTCTACCCTTCCTCCCAGTAAGAAGGGAAGGTGGGTGGGCACCTGAGAGATTAAGACTATTCTCCCAGTCCCACTACCAGCACCCCCGATCCCTGAGACTGAGGGGTTTACGGGCTGTGAATGGACCTTCAGCCCTGCCCACCCTCCCTCCCCACTGCTGCTGAGTCTGTCTGATGTTTTGGTTGTGTGAATAAATATAATTCCCCTCTGGACTGCAGACTGGTATCTGGGGGGCCCAGGCGGGGTGAAAGGTAGGAAGGTGAGGCCAGAGGCCTTTTCTCTCCCCAGTCTGGCCAGAGGCCAGCTCCCCTCCCCGGCTGGTTAATTACTGGCTCATTAAGCAGCGGCTGGAGACCTCCCTAATTATCTCCCCCAGCCCCCCTCTTCGGTTTTAATTAAGTAGAACAGGGAGGGGAGTCATTAGAACAAGAAATACGAACTGAGCTGCCGGTGAACCCAGGCATTCCAGCGGCCTGAGTCCACATCGCTTAGATCCCTGATTCAGGACCCAGGTGACAGACGCCCCCAGCCGCCAACACAGCCCCACTCCTAGGCCGCGGAAGTCCAGCCAGGGGGCTTTCCCATATCTTTCAGATGGCCCGTCTCCTCCCCTCATCCCCTCTTCCCTCTCCCCTCCTCCACTAGGTCTCAGTTCCTCTGTTTCTGTGTCTCTCTCTCCGCCCCCAGCTCCTCCCTGTTCCTCCTCTCTTCTCCCCTCCTCTTCCTCTCCGGCTCCCCTCCCCCAGCCTCCCTCCCTCGCTCCCCCCCCTTCTCCCTCCTCCCTCCTCCCTCTCTCTCACACACACCCCCGCTTGGGCCTCCTCTCTCTCTCCGGCTCCATTTTCTCCGCCGCCGGGGGCCGGGGTCTCCTGTGGGGGGCCCAGCCGGTATCCCAGGTCTCCCTTCAGTGCCGGGGTGAACCCCCGGGGGAGCCGGGAGCCGGGGGCAGACGGGCGGGGGTTGGGGCGGAGGGAGCAGCGGCCCCAGCGAGTTTGGGGGGAGAAGTAACCAGGCGGGGGGAGGGGCGGAGCAGGGAGGGGGCCTCAGGGCCCCCCCCCAGCTATGGACGAACGGCTACTGGGGCCGCCCCCTCCAGGCGGGGGCCGGGGGGGCCTGGGATTGGTGAGTGGGGAGCCTGGGGGCCCTGGCGAGCCTCCCGGTGGCGGAGACCCCGGTGGGGGTAGCGGGGGGGTCCCGGGAGGCCGAGGGAAGCAAGACATCGGGGACATTCTGCAGCAGATAATGACCATCACCGACCAGAGCCTGGACGAGGCCCAGGCCAAGTGAGTGCCCCCACTCCGGGACCCCACACAGACCCAGCAAACCCCGTTCACATGTTCTGAATCTTCTGGGAGCCCCCCCCAACTCCAGGGCCCTCTCCAGGATCCAACAGCTCTCTTCTCTCCTTATTCCTGGGAGCCCATAGAAAAGTGATCCCTCTCAAACCTCCCTTCACCCCCAGGCCCTGAAACCTTCACAGAGGGAACCCCCGGTGGCCCGGCTCCCCACTCCTAACCTTTTGCCGACCCCTGCAGTCTCCTGGAACAGCCCCATCCCCGGGAGCCCCCTCTGGCTCCCAGACTAAGAAACTGTTCTTGGGCTACGTTATCTTCTCCCCTAACTCTCCACCCAGCCCCCTCATTCTCTCCAGATGTGGAGACCTCCACACCCTCTCCAGAGCCCCTAAAGCTCCTCTCCACTGCTCAGCCAGACACTAGGTGCATCAAAGCCTCCCACCTGCTCAGCCCCAGGACCCCTTCACACACCCTACACTGATCTCCCCAGTTAGCTCGGCACCCCCAGCCCCACTCTGCCACCTCAAACTCTGACTCTTCTCAACCCCAGCTTCTGTCTCTCTCCCTCTGAAACCTACCAAGTCACTTTCCTTTCTCCATCCACTCCCAGATTCCTCCTCCTACCTTTCTAGACCATCTCCCAAAGCCCGCAGCCTTTAACCTGCTGCCTGCATCTTCCCTGTGTCTCCCTGAAGCTGAGGAGCTTCCCCATGCTCTGGGAGCTGATCTTTTCCCAAGAACTCCTCATTCCACCCCCAACTCATTCCACCCCCAATCCGCTTCCTCCCTCCGCAGACTGACCCTCCTCCCTCCTTGTTCTCAGGCCCCCTGCTCTGTTTCTCTAGCTCCTCAACTTTTCTCTTTCCCCACTCCCACTCCTCCCAAGGAAACACGCCCTAAACTGCCACCGAATGAAGCCTGCTCTCTTTAGCGTCCTGTGTGAAATCAAGGAGAAAACTGGTATGTGGGCCCCCCCCGGATTGCTCAACTCTGGGAACAGAACCCTGTTCATTATAGGGCTAGAGTGTGACAACTTGGGGCCCTGAGGAAAGTAAGGAGTCAGGGGGACTGGGGAAGGAACCAAAGCCTGGGAACTTGGCTCTCCAGGAAGCACCAGGAGGACTGAGCACTGGGTATTGGGGTCTCTGGGTCCCTAAGTCCACTCGCCTGCATGCTAGGCCTCAGCATTCGGAGCTCCCAGGAGGAGGAGCCGGTGGACCCACAGCTGATGCGCTTGGACAACATGCTTCTGGCAGAGGGTGTGGCTGGGCCCGAGAAAGGGGGCGGCTCAGCAGCAGCAGCTGCAGCCGCTGCAGCCTCTGGTGGTGGTGTGTCCCCTGACAACTCCATCGAACACTCGGACTATCGCAGCAAACTTGCCCAGATCCGTCACATATACCACTCGGAGCTGGAGAAGTATGAGCAGGTAAGGAGAGGAGGCTTGGGTGGGTGGAGGGAAGGGCTCTTGCAGGGGAATCCCATGGTCAAAGGGCTCCTCCTCACCAGCCCACTGGCCCCCACTACAGGCATGTAATGAGTTCACGACCCATGTCATGAACCTGCTGAGGGAGCAGAGCCGCACCAGGCCCGTGGCCCCCAAAGAGATGGAACGCATGGTGAGCATCATCCATCGAAAGTTCAGCGCCATCCAGATGCAGCTGAAGCAGAGCACCTGCGAGGCTGTGATGATCCTGCGCTCCCGTTTCCTGGATGCCAGGTGGGCCCAGGGACCCCAGGCTGGCCCCCAGCACTGGGCTCCTTCCCATTCCTCTCCAAGACCCTGAGCTGCCATGCTGCACAACATGGTACTCCATGACAATGGTGACTCTGGGGTCATGCCATGTGACAGCCCTGCCAGGACATCAACATCCTCCTCACCGCTCTTCTCCCTCCTCTGTAGACGAAAGCGCCGTAACTTCAGCAAACAGGCCACTGAGGTCCTAAATGAGTATTTCTACTCCCACCTGAGTAACCCATATCCTAGTGAGGAGGCCAAGGAGGAGCTTGCCAAGAAGTGTGGCATCACCGTGTCTCAGGTATTATGGAGGTTGCGGGAGGAGTTGTCAGGCAAAGTGCACGCATCTCAGCTAGGTGCAGTGGTGTGTTCCTGTAATCCCAGCTACTAGGGAGGCTGAAGTGGGAGGATCACTTGAATTGGAGACCAGCCTGGGCAACAGCATAGTGAGACCAGGAAGCAAAAAAAAAAAAAATGCTGTCACTCACATCTTATTCAGTGAAGGACTTCAGAGGCAAATGTTTCTACCTGACCCTCCTTTCTGCCCCACAGGTCTCCAACTGGTTTGGCAACAAGAGGATTCGCTATAAGAAAAACATCGGAAAGTTCCAAGAGGAGGCAAACATCTATGCTGTCAAGACCGCCGTGTCAGTCACCCAGGGGGGCCACAGCCGCACCAGCTCCCCGACACCCCCTTCCTCTGCAGGTGGATCCCACTGTCACCCCAGCTGACTGTTTTGCACACTTCCTGCTTTTGTTCCCACTTCCTATCTAGGCAGGATCATAGCAGAGAGGGGGCCTTTTGGGGTGAGAGGGACCGAGCTGAGATAGGCTGGAGATGTCAGGGGACAGAGGCCATTCCAGTGATCTTAGTTCTGCCTTTCTTCCCACGGGTGGCCAAGGAACAGCCTGCTCTTTCTGTGTGTTGGAATGTTATTTTGTGGATAATTGGAGTATAGTAGCATGTCCCCACAAGAGTTGAGAGTTGTGGTTCATCCTCTACCATCACGGGCTCTATTACACTCTTCCCTCTCTGCCCCCACAAGGCTCTGGCGGCTCTTTCAATCTCTCAGGATCTGGAGACATGTTTCTGGGGATGCCTGGGCTCAACGGAGATTCCTATTCTGCTTCCCAGGTCAGATGCCCATCTCCTCTCGAATAGGGCTTTCCCCAACTCCATTTCCTCTACTTTAGGATACAAGACCTCTTTCCTCTGAGGCTTCTCTTCACTGTCATACCTTCCTCTGCTGCCTGCAGGTGGAATCACTCCGACACTCGATGGGGCCAGGGGGCTATGGGGATAACCTCGGGGGAGGCCAGATGTACAGCCCACGGGAAATGAGGGTGAGTGGATCCTGAAGCTCCTCTCTGTCCAGTTCTCACAGGACAGAGGGGCATTTTCCCTAGTAATGTTGTGCCCACACAGGGTTCCCAGGGCTCTCTCTGTTTTCTGTACTCTGTCTCTCCTTTCAGGCAAATGGCAGCTGGCAAGAGGCTGTGACCCCCTCTTCAGTGACATCCCCAACGGAGGGACCAGGGAGTGTTCACTCTGATACCTCCAACTGATCTTGCCCCTCAGGGTCACAGGGGTGGGGGCTCTCACAAGGCGACTTGAAGAGGACGCAGGCTTCCAGAGGACAAACCCCAATACAGGAGAAGCACAAGACAGAGAAGGGCCAATGGGGTCATCCCCTCCCTAACGAGACTCTCTGTGCTGGGGGTGCTAATTACATGGCAGGAAGAATGGGGCCTCTAAGGGGAGTGTGGGGTCTGTCTCTCCCTTTTTTCCATCTTTTTCCTCTCTCGCTTTCTTTCTTACACAGAAACATACACATACCGAGAAACCTATTTCTCAGACCCCTTTTTCTCCTCTGTCTTTCTCTCTCCCTCTCCCACACCTCACACACACATACTCCCACTTGCAACTATTCTGTTTCTCTCCTGGGCTCCCCCACTTTCCCTTCCCCACCCCACTTGTATGCTCTGGAATCTGTGGAGACGCCAGCCCTGCCCAATCAGAGATGCCAAAAATGGGGACATGACTTCTGGACAGAGGACATGGGCCACGCCCCCATGCATCCCCACCCCCGCCCCTCCGGACGGCTTACTTACCTCATACGCAGCTCATCTTAAACCAATAGAATCGCTCGGTGGACGAGAGTGTCTGACTCAGATATCTACCTCGGAGGGAGTTTCTGCTACTTTAGGGAATTATTGACTGGGCTTTGGGGTTGAACTTTTTTTTTTTTAAAGAAAGAAAAAGAAACCCTGGGATCCATCTGTTTTTTTTGTTGTTGTTGTTGTTTTTGTTGTTGTTGGTGGTGGTGGTGGTGGTGGTTCTTAATTTTTAATTTAGTTTGGGGAAGTAGCTTGTTTTTTTTTTTATAAATATGTTGATTTCTTGTCTTTTTTTTTTATTTCTTACTTTCCCATATTAGGGGTGATAGCCAAAGGGGTTCTGGTAAGAGAAAGGGGGACAAACAGAACTGGTAAAGAGGCCCCCCTGGCTCCAGGCCTGTCCATCAGGAAGTAAATTTTACAGGGCACCAAGCTTTGCCCCCTAAAATCCCTTAGGTGTTCTTTGTTCATGCAGGCAGGTTTCTGCCGCATTTGATGTGGAGGCAGTGAAGGGCTTGCCCTGCTGGCCTCTCATCCCCCTTCTTCCCACAACCCTTGGGCAGGGCTGGACTCAGTAATTTTGAGGAAATTGAAGATGCCATCTTCCCCTGTGAGTGACATGTCTTTAATTTTTTAAAAAACTACTATTTGAAAATTGGAGGGGGAAGAATGGGAAGGGAGTTATTGCCAAATATGTTA
The DNA here is from genome assembly GCF_000001405.40 of Homo sapiens. Lineage (NCBI taxonomy): Eukaryota > Metazoa > Chordata > Mammalia > Primates > Hominidae > Homo > Homo sapiens. The sequence goes on along the minus strand of NT_167246.2, from coordinate 3,490,108 downwards.
AATATGGGTTGGGGTGCTTGTATATGTATCTTCCTCAATTTCCCCATAAATGAGGTATCTTTTTGTCACACCAAAATCAAGGGGTAGGGAGAGGGAGGAGGTTGCAAAAAGCCAGATGTGGGGGAAAAGTAACATCAACACTGTCCCATCCTCAGCCCTGAACTAGCTACCATCTGATCCCCTCAGACATTCTCAGGATTTTACAAGACTGTCAGAGTGGGGAACCCCTCCCATTAAAGATCCGGGCAGGACTGGGGACAGGTTGGAAGTGTGATGGGTGGGGGGGTGGGAGGCATGGGCCGGGGGCAGTTCTCTCCTCACTTGTAAACTTGTGTAGTTTCACAGAAAAAAAACAAAATGCAGTTTTAAATAAAGAAATTTCTTTTTTCCCTGGGTTTAGTTGAGAATTTTTTTCAAAAAACATGAGAAACCCCAGAAAAAAAATGATTTTCTTTCACGAAGTTCCAAACAGGTTTCTCTCCTGTTCCCCAGCCTTGCCTTCATGATGCAGGCCCAATTGCACCCTTGCAGACAACAGTCTGGCCTGAACCCTATTGATGCAACTTTGCGCAATCAAGATGGGGCTCCAGTGGGTCACCAGGCAGCCCTGATGGACTGATGGAATAAATAGGATCGGGGGCTCTGAGGGAATGAGACCCTAGAGGGTACACTCCCCATCCCCCAGGGAAGTGACTGTACCCAGAGGCTGGTAGTACCCAGGGGTGGGGTGATAATTATTTCTCTAGTACCTGAAGGACTCTTGTCCCAAAGGCATGAATTCCTAGCATTCCCTGTGACAAGACGACTGAAAGATGGGGGCTGGAGAGAGGGTGCAGGCCCCACCTAGGGCGGAGGCCACAGCAGGGAGAGGGGCAGACAGAGCCAGGACCCTGGAAGGAAGCAGGATGGCAGCCGGAACAGCAGTTGGAGCCTGGGTGCTGGTCCTCAGTCTGTGGGGTGAGCCACTCCCTCAACCCCACTGACCCTCCCTGCAGAAAGCACTTTAACCCCACACCCCAGTCGTCCTAGAACTTTTCCCAGAACCCGAGGAAGTGCCTTTCAAGGTCCCTCACCCACCCTGTCCAAATTTTGTTAGCCCTCATTCCCTTCCTACCCCTCTACCATGGTGCTATCTCCCAGGGGCAGTAGTAGGTGCTCAAAACATCACAGCCCGGATTGGCGAGCCACTGGTGCTGAAGTGTAAGGGGGCCCCCAAGAAACCACCCCAGCGGCTGGAATGGAAACTGGTAAGCGGGGCTCCTGTTGCAGCCTCCCAACTTCCAGGGAGACCAGCAATGATTTGGATCCCCGTCACTCTGCCTCACAGTCCTTTCCCAAAGGCCTTGCACTGTTTAGGCCCTGCTTCTCTGCTTCTAGAACACAGGCCGGACAGAAGCTTGGAAGGTCCTGTCTCCCCAGGGAGGAGGCCCCTGGGACAGTGTGGCTCGTGTCCTTCCCAACGGCTCCCTCTTCCTTCCGGCTGTCGGGATCCAGGATGAGGGGATTTTCCGGTGCCAGGCAATGAACAGGAATGGAAAGGAGACCAAGTCCAACTACCGAGTCCGTGTCTACCGTAAGAATTCCAGGGTCTTCTCCAAGGCCTCCCTCTTACCTAAGAAAAAGCCTTCAACCCCAGCCTTGGCCCATGAGGGCCTCTGACTTCCACTGGCCTCATTTCCACACACAGAGTTTGAGAACCTTCACAATTACAGCCTCTGACTGGATTTTTCCTCCTTCAGAGATTCCTGGGAAGCCAGAAATTGTAGATTCTGCCTCTGAACTCACGGCTGGTGTTCCCAATAAGGTAGTGGAAGAAAGCAGGAGAAGTAGAAAACGGCCCTGTGAACAGGAGGCGAGTGTGTGTGGGTGTGGGTGTGTGGCATCTCTCATTTTCAAAGGATTCTGAGGTCACCACTCTTTCCCCAGGTGGGGACATGTGTGTCAGAGGGAAGCTACCCTGCAGGGACTCTTAGCTGGCACTTGGATGGGAAGCCCCTGGTGCCTAATGAGAAGGGTGAGTCCTAAGGTGCCCCCCAAGCTGCCTTCTCCCTGATCTCACTCCCACACCCACCCTGGGATAATTTGTCTTATCCTCCCATCATAGGAGTATCTGTGAAGGAACAGACCAGGAGACACCCTGAGACAGGGCTCTTCACACTGCAGTCGGAGCTAATGGTGACCCCAGCCCGGGGAGGAGATCCCCGTCCCACCTTCTCCTGTAGCTTCAGCCCAGGCCTTCCCCGACACCGGGCCTTGCGCACAGCCCCCATCCAGCCCCGTGTCTGGGGTGAGCATAGGTGGGGAGGGCCCCAAGCTCACGTGAGCACGTTCTGGAAGTCTGACCCTTAGGGAAAGAGGGAGTCAAGCCCATGGCCACTGGGATCACTCACAAGTGTAACTCTCCACCTCAAAACCCTTCCAACTCCCAGAGCCTGTGCCTCTGGAGGAGGTCCAATTGGTGGTGGAGCCAGAAGGTGGAGCAGTAGCTCCTGGTGGAACCGTAACCCTGACCTGTGAAGTCCCTGCCCAGCCCTCTCCTCAAATCCACTGGATGAAGGATGTGAGTGACCTGGAGAGAGGGGCTGGGAGGTAGGGTGAACCATAACTAGCAACAGGGAGGGCAGAGGGCTAACGAGGGAAAGGCAGGCTAGGAGCTGAGGAGGAAGAGAGGGTATCTGAAGATATGGAGACAAAAAGACAAGGGTTTTGAAATAGTCTCCTCTCCCCTTCCCCCACCAGGGTGTGCCCTTGCCCCTTCCCCCCAGCCCTGTGCTGATCCTCCCTGAGATAGGGCCTCAGGACCAGGGAACCTACAGCTGTGTGGCCACCCATTCCAGCCACGGGCCCCAGGAAAGCCGTGCTGTCAGCATCAGCATCATCGGTGAGACCTCTCCCCAAGCCCTACAGACCCTGGGACTAGGGTGCAGGACAGCACAGGCTCTAATTTCCTGCCCCATTCTGGCCTTATCCCTAACAGCCACCCCACCTCTCCCTCCATGCACCCACACCCAAGCCTCCCCTACCCCACCCAAATTCTGCCAAGAGAGCAGCCAAGCCTCTCCCTTCTTCCCTCTGAGCTAAAAAAAGGAACAGACGGCTGGGCGCGGTGGCTCACGCCTGTAATCCCAACACTTTGGGAGGCTGAGGCGGGCAGATCACCTGAGGTAGGGAGTTCGAGACCAGCCTGACCAACATGGAGAAACCCCATTTCTACTAAAAATACAAAATTAGCCAGGCATGGTGGCACATGCCTGTAATCCCAGCTACCTGGGAGGCCAGCTACTTGAGAGGCTGAGGCAGGAGAATTGCTTGAACCCAGGAGGCATAGATTGCGATGAGCCAAGATCGCACCATTGCATGCCAGCCTGGGCAACAAAAGTGAAACTCCATCTCAAAAAAAAAAAGAAAGGGAAAGACTCCACTGGGGCTCCCACTAAATAACCCTCTCTCAACCCGAAGTCTTCCTTTCTGACTGGATCCAACTTTGTCTTCCAGAACCAGGCGAGGAGGGGCCAACTGCAGGTGAGGGGTTTGATAAAGTCAGGGAAGCAGAAGATAGCCCCCAACACATGTGACTGGGGGGATGGTCAACAAGAAAGGAATGGTGAGTGGTGGTGGCTGTGCTCTCAATTTTCCCTGTCTCCGTACAGGCTCTGTGGGAGGATCAGGGCTGGGAACTCTAGCCCTGGCCCTGGGGATCCTGGGAGGCCTGGGGACAGCCGCCCTGCTCATTGGGGTCATCTTGTGGCAAAGGCGGCAACGCCGAGGAGAGGAGAGGTGAGTGGAGAAAGCCAGACCCCTCAGACCTAGGGCTTCCAGGCAGCAAGCGAAGAGGGGTCGGGGGGTGGAACGACAACGTGCCGCATTCCCCCCAATCTTTCTCCTCAGGAAGGCCCCAGAAAACCAGGAGGAAGAGGAGGAGCGTGCAGAACTGAATCAGTCGGAGGAACCTGAGGCAGGCGAGAGTAGTACTGGAGGGCCTTGAGGGGCCCACAGACAGATCCCATCCATCAGCTCCCTTTTCTTTTTCCCTTGAACTGTTCTGGCCTCAGACCAACTCTCTCCTGTATAATCTCTCTCCTGTATAACCCCACCTTGCCAAGCTTTCTTCTACAACCAGAGCCCCCCACAATGATGATTAAACACCTGACACATCTTGCTCTTGTGTGTCTGTGTGTGTGTATGAGACACAACCTCACCCCTATACCCTTGAGGGCCCTGAAGGAAAGGGACTCACCCCCATACTTCACCATACTATACCAAACATCTACTCAAGTTGGGGAGAAGATGCTTCTGTCGGGGGTGGGGGCGAACTTGGGAAGAGATCCCATCAATATATTTCACCTTTTTTATTGAATTTGTATTAAAGGAGGTAGTGAGGGGGCGGAAGCACTTAAGAGTCAGAATCCATATTAGACTCTGGGGAGTGAAAAATTAAATTAAATCAGTAAGATGGGGAGTGGGGGAAGAGTCAGAGGGAACTTTGCCCACCTTTGAAGATCAAATCAAGAAATCAGGGAAAGCAAAGACTTAGGAGAGGAGAAAGACATTCTCTCAATCCATCCTCCTTCCCCAGGGCAGAGAATTAAACAACGTTACTGAGTGAGCCTCTGAGCAGAAGGCTCTCCCATCTATGCACAGACTTCACTCCTCCTCCCCAGGCCTTCCTGGACAATGTCCAGGGCTGGCCTTAGCCAACAGAAATAGAGGGGTCAAGGGGGTCCAGGAGTACGGAAGGGTCAGCAGGGACCCTCAATACTGATTCTTCTCTGGCTGGAGGTGGGCAGGAAGCAGACATAGCTCAAATACTGAGCAGCCAAAAAAAGAAGAAGATGGCGAGAAACAGGAAGAGGGAATCCTGCCAGCTGGAGGCTGGGTGACCCTGTCCCAGATCCACACCTGTGGGAGAGAGGAAAGCTGTGGAAGCATATGCTCCTAGGCTGGGAGGGGGCCTGAGGGGATTCACAGGGCTCCCTGATGGGAGCTGAGTGTGACTCTTACCTGTACCCCGGCGGAAAGGCTCATGGGCATTGAAGACGGTGGTGAAAAAGCCAAAGGGAAAAGCACCAACACCAAATGAGAAGTGGAAGCCCCCGGTATCACCAAATGGCTGGAATCCCTAGGGAGGCAGAAAAAGTCAGACGGGAAGCCGGCAAATCTGTCAAGGAAGGGACACAACTGGACAAGAAGACTCACCCCTCTGCTCTCCGGAGCTGGTCTCTGGCCCTGGGGGCGGGGTGGAGTTTTTAATCTGAGGAAGTGGAGAGAGAAAGTTAACAGGGATTTTTCTCCTCCCATCTTCCACACCGTTTTCCAAGGGCAGAAGCCTTCAATCTTCCCTAAGCAACACCTCCAGTCTCTCACCTGGGATCCTGGGGCTTCTGGCTCCCTCGCCCATAAAGCGGGACAACCTTCTCTCTGCTGATCCCAGCTTTACATACTGGACACTCTTGCCGTTCTGGCCGTGTCTCCAGCCACTGGGGAGAAAAAAGGTGGTTTCCAGTATACAAGAGGGTCTTACAGCTCCTCAGACCTCCCCATTTCCCTCTTCATCTCCTGAGTACGCACCTGATGAAGACATGGCCAACTGGATGGGGGAGAAAAAAAAAAAAAGGTCAAACTAGCTACAGAAAAGAGAGACACAGACCCTAGACTTCGCAGAATCCCATCTAACCCCTCTTCCCAAGCAACCTGCTGTTGCTTTTCAGATTTTCTGCAACCTCTACCATGCCAGCCAACTTAGTTAGCCTTCCTGCTTGTCTGATCTTCCAACACCTAAAGCTCTGTCCATCCTCAACACACTCAACCCTCTCCTTTCTCCTCTCCCCAACAAACACATACAAATTTTCGTGCCCTCTCTTTTCTGCCTTTCAAGTTAATTTCTAATTTCCTTCAGCCACCTCTTTCTGGGTCTCCTCTTTTCAACCCCAACCCCATCACTCCAAACCAAACCCCTTTACTAGCACATTCCCCCATTACTCACTTTCAAGCTCAATAATGTCCCTATCTTTATGACCCTTTAACCTTTCAAGTCTGCCTCTCCACAGTGCCCTTATACCAGCCCCCTCCCAGATCTCATCTGAATGTGATCCATATTTCCTGGTTCTCCCCGACTCAACTGATGCGTGCCTCCCTTAACCTTTGTGTCTCACTTGTTTCCACCTGCACAGCTAAGACCCCTCACTTCTCTGGGGTAAGGTGGCTCGGGTCTCACATTGTCCTGCCACTCCCCGCCCCACCTTCTCTTCTCAGCACATCACGTGCCTCAGCTCCTGGTTCCTAAGACCTTTCTTTCCACAGATCTCGACCGTTATACTCCCACCCACACATACCAGCAAAGTCTTATGTCTCCTGTCGGGCTTCACCTATGGGAACGTGCCCTCCGATTATCTGTATGACTGTATGATTATTCGCTCCTAGCCTCTCCAGTATATAAGCGAGACCCACCACCTCCCGCCCCCCTCCTCGATTCTCACCAGTACAGGTGGCCACACACACTGACCACAGCTTCCCGAGCAGTCTCCAAACATATATTACATTCGAAGGTCGCGCCCGCCCCGCCCCGCTCGCGATTTGGCCCTTCGGGGCCCCCGTCCTCCTCCTCCGCTGCTGCCATGGCCGGTTTTGTTTCGCCCCACGTACCCTTCAGTCCCCCCAAATACACATACACACGCCCCAACAAACCAGAAACCACCTCCTGCCCACGATCGTTGGGCAGGCTTCAAGGTTTCCTAATCACTATTGGTCTGAATGCCTGCCAGTCACAAAGAATTCAAAAGAAAGGATTGGCCCAAAGGGTAGGGGCGGGAAAAGGTTAGTGCAGTCCTGCCTTCGCACAATGGCTATTGGCTGATACGGTCTAAGTCAATGTGCAATGCCAAGGGATTGGTAATAACTCGCTACACGCTGTCGCCTGGCCAAGGAGGGCTTTATTCGTCTGAGTAGTTGTCAGTCATAACCAAAGCCATAAGCAATTTGCTCGGGACTACCTATAGACCTCGCCCACTATAAGCCCCTTTCTTTCCTTCGCTTCCTCTTTTAGAGAATGTCCGGATTGCTATTGGACTTTGGAGCGTATGGCTCCAAATCAACTCATTGGCTAAAACTTGACGGAAAATGGTGGTTAGGTAAAACGCGCCTGCGCAGCACGCGGCGGGACGGGGGTGGGCCAATCCTGTGAGGGTTTAACCTTCTCTTGTTCCACCTCTTCACCCCTATCTTGTCGCCATGGTGACTGCTCTACAATTGGCGAGGCTTGCACTTCAAAGTCCTAGGCTCGCTTCATCCGGGTCCTTCAGCTGTGGACTTTCTGCTGATTGGGCCTTTTCCTTTTCCCCTGATTGGCCGACATCGGGAAAGACGGCGAAGAGCTAGGAAAAGAGGGAAAACACTAGGGTCGCAGGGTTCAAAATGGCTCCAACCTCCTTTGGTGACGTAGAGAGCAGAACTTGGGTCTGCCCCTCCCTTTTAGTTAAGGGAGCAGAACTGGGATTAGCCCGACGTTTGGATAGTGGGAACATCGATCTGCGGCGCTGGTGTTAACCCAACTCATTCGGCTGGACGACTCAGCCCTCCCCATATTAGGTGATTTACAGAGCAAAACTGAACTAAAGGCCCACCCCTTTCTTAATGTTGTACACAGAGTAGAACAGGATTGACTTCAACTCCGTTTTAAACCTTCAGAGCAGGAAAGCTCTGGGCTCAACCCCTTTGTGAGTGGTGCAAAAGGGACAAAGCCCGCCCCTTTTAAGGAGACCCGCGGAGGCTAGACCCGCCCTTTCCTCTTTATAATTTGCCCATCAGAAATAGGGTCTTCTTCCCAGGTTGGACCCCGGGGAGTTTGGGCTTTTCCTACAATCACTGACCCTCACTGTGACTAAAGGAGCAGAATTAGGTAACAGTCCTCCCACTACCAATCCTCTTCCCGAGGGCATGTAAACTAATGCAGGGTAAAGGTGTGGCTAGAGGGGGGACCTTGATAAAAGATCCCATGTGACTCAAGAGTAAGGAAAGATGAGAAGTTAGCAGTTGCGTAAAGAAGGACTGGGGCAGATGAGGATTCAGGAAGCTTGAGGTTTAGGAAGGAAGATATTGAGAGGGAAAGGTGGAAATGAAGGAGAGTGAAGTGATGGAATGATCCTAGTAAAGGGATAATGGGAGTGGAGGAAGAGAAGAGGGGGTGGAAAACTAGATACATGGCTACCAAATTAAGGAGGCACGCGCATTCCAGAGGAATCGGCATTCTTCCTCACTTTTTATTTTTCTAGAAAGCACCCCTGAAGCCAAATTTCCATTGGAAGAAAAGATGTACCCATATTGTATGTTGTGAGAAGGGGTTGTCTCAGCTTGGGCAAGTAAGGAGACTGATACGAAGGAAGTAGGAAAGAAAAGGTACAGAGGTAAAAGAGCATGGAAAAGGAAAGGGTCAGGGATAAGGCCAAAGAGATCTCTTCTCTTTAAAGGCCAGAGAAGGCAGGTGGAGGGGGGAGCTGGACTGCTGGGAGATAGTGAGGGACAAAGGGCAAAGGAAACCAGACCAGAGGACTGGAGAGTGAGATGGAGTGAGATGGAGTCCTGGAGAGAAAAAGAAGAGAGGTGAACTTAATGCTTGTCATATGGTAGGTAGATGCTTGATAAATGTTTAGAATTGAATGGGTACGGGAAAAGGGGTCCTTAAGAATAGTTGGGGGGAATAAGCAGCAGATAACCGGAGTTGAGAAAAAAAGAGACCAAGTAAAAGTGGCAGTTAAAAGAGAGCTGATGGAGAATAAAGGAAGGAATGTGCGGAAGGAGGAATACAGCACCAGGGGATCCAGAGCTGAAAGGGAGTTAGAGAAAAAAAAGATGCAGCTGGAGCCAGAGATGGGGGCAAAGACCGAGGGAGAGCCCTGGGGCGGGGCTCGCAAGAGGACACTGGTAGATGTGGGGAGGAGATGCCAGAGTTTCTGGGAGACGATTGGCAAAACAGGCTGCCCATCACCGCCCTCCACTTCCTGGCCGGCCCCGGAAACCAGCAGGCGTTGGGGAGGGGTGGCGGGGGAATAGCGGCGGCAGCAGCCCCAGCCCTCAGAGAGACAGCAGAAAGGGAGGGAGGGAGGGTGCTGGGGGGACAGCCCCCCACCATTCCTACCGCTATGGGCCCAACCTCCCACTCCCACCTCCCCTCCATCGGCCGGGGCTAGGACACCCCCAAATCCCGTCGCCCCCTTGGCACCGACACCCCGACAGAGACAGAGACACAGCCATCCGCCACCACCGCTGCCGCAGCCTGGCTGGGGAGGGGGCCAGCCCCCCAGGCCCCCTACCCCTCTGAGGTGTGGGCGGGAAAGGGATGGGAGGAGGAGGGAAGAGGGTGCTGAAAGCGACTAGGATGAGGGGAAGGGGAGAGATTGGGTCTGGGAGGGCCGACTGGGGGAGAGGGTTGCTGGGGAAAGGAGAGGGGCCGACTGGGAAGAGGGTTGCTGGGGATAGGAGAGGGGACCTGAGAGGGAGGAAGGATGGAAGAGACCTGGGAGGGAGGAGAAATGGAAACCCTTGTGAATTTGGGACTGGGAGCGTGCACAGGGAATCCTGGAGAGGGAATTCCCTACACCTTCCCCAATTCCTTTTCTTGCCCTTTGACCCCACATGACTCTTGAAGGGTCATGAGGGGAGAAGGCCAGCAGAATTTGCCTCTTAGGAATACCCTTAGGTGCCTCTGTTTCCATCTAGGCACAGGACCTCTTGTTTCTCAGTGGCCTTCCACACTGCTAGACCCTTACTGACACACAAATGCCTTATGGGAGCCATGTTTTCTACATTGAGTCTGTGTGCCTTTGACATGTTTAATGGCTTGTGTGCAACTAGGTTGTCCCAATGCTATCCATAGGCTGTGTAGAAATGGTGTGTTATTTTCTATCAGAATTGCCCATTCTTCATTCTTGTGTCCATGTCTCACATCCAGTTTTGACATGTTTTAAGTACCGCATGTGTGTGAGTTTTCATATATTGCACCTGTTCTATAATTTCATGTTACTTGCACATTTTATGTTTTGGCATGTTTATTTCAGCATGTGAAGGTTATATACCTTATTTTGCTTTGGCTGACATGTCCATGGTCCTACCATTTGCAGTAGTCTTCATGTGTGGGATCCCATGGCTTGGCTGAATACCCCACACTCTGATGTCTGACTGAATTGGCCTGTTTGCTGTGTTTTCCCAGTCACAGTTCACAGAACACATGTGTATGCGCCTTTGCATGATACACTGATGTAACAGGACCATAGAATGTGTGTTATAAATTTGTCATCAGTATATTTTGTGAGCCGTATGCTCATTAAATTTGGCCCTCCATTGCATTTCTAAATCCTTGGACTTTTGTTCTCCAAAGAGGGTCACTTAATATCAAGTGTTAAGAGAAGAAGGTAACTGGGTCTCCAGGTCTGCAAAGAACCATCCCTGCATGCCTTACCTTGGTGACCTCCCTGGCCCATACCTCTCTACACAAACATTATCTTTCCAGTGGCTGTGTACAGTCTGTGTCCATGAGCTCAATGCATGTCACAGGGTCAATCCTGCTGTGAACCCCATTGTTGGTATTTATTTATGGACATTATCCTCCATTCTTTGCACTGTTGGCACACATTTGATGAGAGCAGCATCTTTCCCTGTGGCATCTTGATCCCATTCGGTACATTTCTCTTGTGAGATGACCTCTTCCTGATTATTGTTACTCTGCCTTCATTATGGCTATGTATTGCATGTATCTATTCAGAGTCGGTTACCATTAGGCTTGGTGTGTTCGTTACTTTCTCAGTGACTTCTTTTAGTAGTCACTTCTACTCAAGAGGATAACTATCTAATTTGTGATCAGAACCGCCATCTCTGTCATTAACTGTGGCTCTATGGGTGGGTATACAGCCTTAGAATCTGTTCAGCAAGTGTTTATTGAGCACCTACTCCATCTCCTATTGTCCTGGCACTGGAGATAAGACAGAGTCCCTGTCCTTAAGCTGCTTACAGCCTAAGGAGGGAAACAAAAACGCCAGTCAACACATAGTGTGTTGTCAAGATCAGTGGTTCTTAAATTCAGGCGCACATCAGACTCACCAGAGGGCTTGTTGAAATACAGATTGCTAGCCAGCCACGATGGCTCACACCTGTAATCCCAACAGTTTGGAAGGCTGAGGCAGGAGGATCGCGTGAGTCCAGGAGTTCAAAACCAGCCTGAGTGACAGAGTGAGAAAAAGAAAAACAGATTGCTGGACCTAATGCCCAGAATTTCTGATTCAGTAGATCTGGGGTGAAGTCTAATAATTTGCATTTCTATACTTCGAGACCCGCTGATCAAGATAAAAGTGTAAGGAAAGCACAGGCCTGGAGGGGTTCAGGCAGCCCTCCAAAAGGTGACACTGAGCTGTGTGAGGCAGGAGAAGAGACAGGCATTCCAGCCAAAGGGAACAGCATGTTCAAGGTGGGGAAGCATGAAAGATCATGGTGTCTGAGGAACTGAAGTGAATCAGTTTGACTGGAACAAAGAGTTTTGTGAGGATGTGGTCGAAGATGTAAGCAGAAGTCAACTTATCAAGAAGAGCCTTTAGGCAAGACAGGGAAATGCTCTGTGTTTCAGAAAAATCTGTGCTAACAGAAAAATCTCTGTGGTTGCTACGTGGAAGATGGATTGGAGGGAGTTGGGAGCCTACTCCACATAGTTCAGGGGAGAAATGATGCTGTTCTGAACTTGTAGGGGCAGTGGGATGGAGCAGCTCAGAAAGCCTACGGTATTCCAACTGGCAGGGTCTCCTGTTTCCTCTATTGCCTGTTACCTTCTCGCTTGGCAATAGGCTTACCTTTGAGCATAGCCCTTCCCATCATGGGAAGACAGTGCCTGTGGCCTCAGTAGGAATGACAGGTATTTGCCTGAACACCCTTTTTGTGAATTGTTACCCTGCCCCCAACACTGGGGCAGAGTGGAGGAAGGAGGAAGAACCTAGAACACAGGTTCTGTGTTCCTGCCTCTCTTCCTCTTGAGCCCTTTCCTCTCCCAGGGCAAGTGCTGTTAGGTCACCTTTACTCCATTCCCTCCTTTTTTCACTTGGTGAGGCCTCACACACTGTACCTGCCCACGCAAAGTGTCACTAGAAGGAAGGGAAAGGGTAGTAGGATTCGTTTGCCTGTCTGGAGGTAGGATTGGTCTTTGTAGCTATTCCAGGTATGTCCATAAGTTTACCTAGGAATAGGGGAGCTGCCTGGGTGGAGAGGGATTTTTCTAGTTATGCATTTACATTCTTTTATCTGTCACTGGGTGTAATTATAAATTTGTGTCTATGTGTGAACATGTTAGTCTTTGTATGACTGTGTGTCTGTTGGCATTAGTGACACGAACTTTTAATCTTGCCATTTGGCCCTTGGGTATATGGCTGTGAGTGTTCTGTCACAATCACCATATATGCTGTGTGCTGTGTTCGTATATATATATGCAATACATACCAGTGTCAGCGTAATGGAGTGGTTAGGAACACAGGCGGCTTAGATTTAACCTAGAAACTGCTGTTTAGGAGCTGTATGACCTCAGGTAAGTTATTTAGCCTCCCTGGGCCTATTTCCTATAAAATGTAAATAGTAATAGTACTTTCTAGACTATCATATGCATCATTTTAAGAGTTTAACTTAATGTATAGACCAGTACTGTTCTACAGAAATATAATGCAAGCCACAATGTAATTTTTTTATGGTAGCCACATTTTTACAAGGCAAAAAGAGTGAAATTAATTTTAGTAATATATTTTCTTGAATCTGATAACATCCAAAAGATTATAATTTCTTTTTTTTTTTTTGGAAATGGAGTCTCACTCCATTGCCCAGGCTAGAGTGCAGTGGCGTGATCTTGGCTCACTGCAACCTCCGCCTCCCGGATTCAAGCAATTCTCCTGCCTCAGCCTCCCGAGTAGCTGGGATTAAAGGCATGCGCCAACAGGCCCGGCTAATTTTTGTATTTTTAGTAGAGACGGGGTTTCACCATGTTGGTCAGGCTGGTCCTGAACTCCTGACCTCGTGATCTGCCCACCTCGGCTTCCCAAAGTGCTGGGATTACAGGCGTGAGCCACTGCGCCCGGCCCAAGATTATAATTTCAAAATGTAGTCAGCATAAAAGATTAGTAATGGATATCTCACATTTTGTTTTTTATTCAGTCTTTGAAATCTGATGTGTATTTTACATTTCCAGCACATCTCAGTTCAGACTAGCTGCATTTCAAGTAGCCACATGTAGGTGGTGGCTACTTTCTCGGACAGCACAAGTATAGACCATTATAAGACCCTTACCAGCTACAAGTGTTAGCTATTATTCTTGTTGTCATTTATTATCAGGTATCTGTGAATTGTAGATGTCTGTGTCTTGTGTCTCTTGTCTGAATATATCCGGAGCCTTTGGGAAGAGTGGTGGGAGAGCAGTCCTGAGCTCTTTCTCCACCACCCTCATCCTAGAGAGCCTTCCTGGGAAGGTTTCAATGAGACCCCTGCCCCAGTTTGTGTCTCAGGCCCTTGTCCTCATAGCACCAGCCCCCAGCCCTGCCTTCTGTGCCTTGCCTACCCCACTCTCCTCCAGAAACCAGGCTGATTGTCCCTTGCCCCATCCCCTGCAGGTGGCCAGAATGGATTTGTGGCCAGGGGCATGGATGCTGCTGCTGCTGCTCTTCCTGCTGCTGCTCTTCCTGCTGCCCACCCTGTGGTTCTGCAGCCCCAGTGCCAAGTACTTCTTCAAGATGGCCTTCTACAATGGCTGGATCCTCTTCCTGGCTGTGCTCGCCATCCCTGTGTGTGCCGTGCGAGGACGCAACGTCGAGAACATGAAGTGAGGGGCAAGGGGTCTTGGGCAATGAGGGAACCTAAGGGTACAAAGTGAGTAGTGGATTGGGGGAAGGGGGCATGGTGTGTGTAGAAAAGACTGAGAGAGACCAGAGACAGGGAATGGGGAGAGGACTGCAAAGGTGGTCAGAAAGACAGTAAGGTGGGGGGAGCTGAGGCATGCAGATGGACATCAATGGATCCCACTGGGACCCCTTGCCATGACCCCACAGGATCTTGCGTCTAATGCTGCTCCACATCAAATACCTGTACGGGATCCGAGTGGAGGTGCGAGGGGCTCACCACTTCCCTCCCTCGCAGCCCTATGTTGTTGTCTCCAACCACCAGAGCTCTCTCGATCTGCTTGGTGAGACCCCACCACAGGGCACACCTCCCCCAGCCATGCCTCCCCTCCTGAAACCTTCCCTAGAATATCTTCTCCTAGAGATCCTCAATTCCCCTTCCTCTGGGACATTGCCCCCTTGCCTCCCACTCAGGCCTTCATTCCCTGGGTAGAACTGCCCTCATAAGCAGGGTACATATACTTTTGGTCACCCTTTCCTTCACTTGGGGCCCCCCTCCCTGCCTAGTCTCCTCCTTCACCTCCAGTCCCTACCAGAGGGTGATGAGCTGGGTGAGGTGGGTTGCCTTCTGTGACACTCTGCCTCCACCCCGATCCTCACCCACTCCCACCCTGCCCAAGGGATGATGGAGGTACTGCCAGGCCGCTGTGTGCCCATTGCCAAGCGCGAGCTACTGTGGGCTGGCTCTGCCGGGCTGGCCTGCTGGCTGGCAGGAGTCATCTTCATCGACCGGAAGCGCACGGGGGATGCCATCAGTGTCATGTCTGAGGTCGCCCAGACCCTGCTCACCCAGGACGTGAGTCATCCTGGGGAAATGGGGGATTGGAGGGATACAGAGTAGAACAGTTGTAAATAAACTGATATGCAGGGCCAGTGGGCCTCAAAGGTCCCATTATAACATCACACCTATTCTGACTCCTCCATATGTATTTGTCTTCTTTGACCCTCTTTCTCCCCCAGGTGAGGGTCTGGGTGTTTCCTGAGGGAACGAGAAACCACAATGGCTCCATGCTGCCCTTCAAACGTGGCGCCTTCCATCTTGCAGTGCAGGCCCAGGTGACTACTGCTCTTCGTTCTGCTACTCAGCTGCCAACCCCCACCATTCCCTCATCTCTGGGCAGGGGCTTATTGTAGGAGTCTCTGAAGAGAGCTGTGGACTGACCTGCTTTAACCCTTCCCCAGGTTCCCATTGTCCCCATAGTCATGTCCTCCTACCAAGACTTCTACTGCAAGAAGGAGCGTCGCTTCACCTCGGGTGAGGGCTTTGAGCAGTTCTGGGGTAGGGTGTGTCCGGAGAGGCTGGGAGGACATCCCTGTGAGGCAGGGGGATCATTCAGTGTCAGAGCCATGAGATGTCTACACAGTCATCTAGTCTAACCCCACATCAGCCAATAAGTCTTTACTAAGCACCCACCATACCCTGCCAGATGGGTAGCACTTGGTCCCACCAAGAGAGGCTGTTACTAATCTTAACAGGAAAGATAAGGCCTGTGTGCACAAAGCTGTAATGAATAACACTCATTCAGCAGTAAATGCCAAACCCAGAGGAGGGGGGCTGGAGGGGTGCTGAGGAGATGTCTGAACTGGGGATTGGAGAAGGCTTTGTATAGGAGAAGGGCCTCAGAAGTGGCAGCTGGCAAGCCCAGGGATGGTTGTCCAGGGTTGGGGGAAGAGAACTGAAAGGTTGAGGAAGAGTATCACTCGGAAGCTGGGCCCCACCTGTGGGCAAAGACCTGGGTGGACAGGCCATGATGGTGCTCCCCTTGCCCCAGGACAATGTCAGGTGCGGGTGCTGCCCCCAGTGCCCACGGAAGGGCTGACACCAGATGACGTCCCAGCTCTGGCTGACAGAGTCCGGCACTCCATGCTCACTGTTTTCCGGGAAATCTCCACTGATGGCCGGGGTGGTGGTGACTATCTGAAGAAGCCTGGGGGCGGTGGGTGAACCCTGGCTCTGAGCTCTCCTCCCATCTGTCCCCATCTTCCTCCCCACACCTACCCACCCAGTGGGCCCTGAAGCAGGGCCAAACCCTCTTCCTTGTCTCCCCTCTCCCCACTTATTCTCCTATTTGGAATCTTCAACTTCTGAAGTGAATGTGGATACAGCGCCACTCCTGCCCCCTCTTGGCCCCATCCATGGACTCTTGCCTCGGTGCAGTCTCCACTCTTGACCCCCACCTCCTACTGTCTTGTCTGTGGGACAGTTGCCTCCCCCTCATCTCCAGTGACTCAGCCTACACAAGGGAGGGGAACATTCCATCCCCAGTGGAGTCTCTTCCTATGTGGTCTTCTCTACCCCTCTACCCCACATTGGCCAGTGGACTCATCCATTCTTTGGAACAAATCCCCCCCACTCCAAAGTCCATGGATTCAATGGACTCATCCATTTGTGAGGAGGACTTCTCGCCCTCTGGCTGGAAGCTGATACCTGAAGCACTCCCAGGCTCATCCTGGGAGCTTTCCTCAGCACCTTCACCTTCCCTCCCAGTGTAGCCTCCTGTCAGTGGGGGCTGGACCCTTCTAATTCAGAGGTCTCATGCCTGCCCTTGCCCAGATGCCCAGGGTCGTGCACTCTCTGGGATACCAGTTCAGTCTCCACATTTCTGGTTTTCTGTCCCCATAGTACAGTTCTTCAGTGGACATGACCCCACCCAGCCCCCTGCAGCCCTGCTGCACCATCTCACCAGACACAAGGGGAAGAAGCAGACATCAGGTGCTGCACTCACTTCTGCCCCCTGGGGAGTTGGGGAAAGGAACGAACCCTGGCTGGAGGGGATAGGAGGGCTTTTAATTTATTTCTTTTTCTGTTGAGGCTTCCCCCTCTCTGAGCCAGTTTTCATTTCTTCCTGGTGGCATTAGCCACTCCCTGCCTCTCACTCCAGACCTGTTCCCACAACTGGGGAGGTAGGCTGGGAGCAAAAGGAGAGGGTGGGACCCAGTTTTGCGTGGTTGGTTTTTATTAATTATCTGGATAACAGCAAAAAAACTGAAAATAAAGAGAGAGAGAGATCTGGGTGTTGGTGGTTGCATTTGTTAAGGAATTGAAGCAGTTCTTGCCCAGGCAACCTGCCCCCAGCCAGAAGACTCAGGGGCAGGCCAAGAACACAGGCCTCCCCCTTTCTTCAGCTCTCTGAAGTTTCCATTGTTCATTGCTCTTTGGTGGCTGATAGCCTTATCTGCAGCTCACAGTCGGCCAATCCCAGAGGATTAGTGGGTCCGGTTTCTGTATAAATTAGGGGGCAGGGGTGCTGTAGAGGCTTCTTATCGATGATTGACGCCGAGGCCCAGGCTGTTGTCCTCACAGGAGCCTGGTTAATGACATGGCAGACACAGTGGCTGTGGTCAGCCTGGAGTGGACTACACTGCCACTCTCACCAAACAATAAGTGAAACTGTTGGGCTGGGGACAGGATTTCAGAAGAGAACGATGGTAAAGTGGAGAGGCATGAGGATAGTGAATGTTGGAGAGGGGCTTGGAGGAAAGAGGGAATGCCTGAATGGAGAGGGGTCTTGGGGAAAGTTGGGGAATAGAAGTCAAGGCGGGAGGAGTGTGAGGACTCACAGGCACCTAGCCTCTCCTCCAGCAGCAGCACCTGGTCGCTGAGAGATTCGATCCGGTCACCCCGGCCCCACAGCTCAGCCACCTGTTCTGGCTGCAGCTCTTCAGGCGGCACGGGCAGCACCGCTCTGACCCAGGCCCCAGCCTGACCGGCCCACTAGAAAGGAAGAGATGCCTCAGGGTATTGACAGTGACGTCTGGCCTCGCCCCACCCAGCAGGCTTGGCTCACCTGCTCCAGCCGCTCCAGGCGCCCTCGCAGCTCGTGAATCTCCTGCTTCAGAGCGCGCTCATCTTTTTCCGCCTCCCGAACTAGGGACAAAGGAGACCAAGAGTGTGACCACTACCCGAGCCCGGACGCCCGTCCCGAGTCCCTCGGGTGGCCCGTACTCCTGCCCACTCACCGGCCACGCTGAGTATGCTGGCACTGGTTGGGGGCTCTGGGGACCCCTCCATGCAGGTGCGCCCGTCCACGCCTAGCACTAGGTCATGGGGGCAGCCGCAGGTGAAGCTGCCTGCCGTATTAAAACAATGGTGCGAGCAGAGGGTGATGCTGGTCCTACATTCATCCACGTCTAGTTACCGAAAAAAGGAAGGGGCTGAGAGAGGGGGCGGGGGCAAGCACCTGGGTAGGTGGGGAGGACAAGCTGACTCACCCACATGACAGTGCTTCCCTCCCCAGCCGGGGGCGCACTCGCACTGGTCAGGCCTAACGCAGACGCCTCCGTTCAGGCAAGGCTTGGCGCAGATGGCTGAGGACAGAGGAAGTGGGGTTCAGACTCAAACCGACGACCCAGCTCCCCAGCTCCGTGGGGCGCGCCTCCCGCAAGGCCCGGAAGACCCAGCCTCACCTTCACAGGTGAGCGCCCCCGGGTGCCGCTTCTTCCAGCCCTGGCAGCACACTGCATGGGTCTGCTGAACCTCCCGCCTCACCTCCCGCCACATAACGCGGTACATGGTCCTGGAACACAGCGCCCGGCTCAGGACCCTGAGTACGGGTCCTAGTTGGGGTTCTTGGGGTCCCATCTCCCCATCCCTCACCTGTAAGTGCTGCAGATGCGCCTCCCAGCGCACAAGGTCAGGTAGGGCTTGTACACTGGTTGGCTGTAGGACTCGTTGTAGTGGAGCGGGACCACCAGTGTCTGCTTGGAGCAGACTCCCTGACTGCGTCCATGCCAGAGGATGAGGTGGGAGAGATTGAGTAGGCCAGGCCCTGGGGAGCCAGGAGTCCCACTTCCCTCAAGAGGCTACTGAGGCCCCCCGCTCTCCCTCCAGATGACAGCCTCTCACCCCCATTCTAAACTTACAGTTATGTTTTGCCTCCTGTGAAGCCCCACCCCCAGCAGAAGGCTCCTGAGAAGAGCTCACCCCGGGCCCTACCCCCTCTGTTGTCACCTCTCTCTGAGGGATCCACCCTTGGCCCCCTCGCCTGGTATCAGTAGCAGGAGGAAGGAGAATCCGCCTAAGAGAGTGCACAGCTCAGCCCTGGACCCCATGATTCGCTTTGACGCTGGACCCTACAGGCTGCAGGCAAGAAAAGGTTAATGGATGCCCGTCCCCTCTCCTATTAATTTCTCCAGCACTAGTCCCTCCAAGGGCACTCTGCAGGTACCCTCTAAGGGAGTCAGGACATTCACTTTTACATACTAGCCACCAGGATTGCCTACACCTGTGTGTACAACCCAACACTATCCTGTCCTTAGCATATCATGATCCTTTCAGCATCATAAAAGCTCACACCCCAGCACACTCCCTCCACCTCCCCTCTAACCTACTTACTTCTAATCCCCTCTGCACAACCTGGAGGGACACACAGTCAACCCTCCCCTTATGACCCTCCTGTCTTTTTTTGGGTTTTTTTTTGTTTTTGTTTTTGAGAAGGAGTTTCGCTCTTACTACCCAGGCTGGAATGCAATGGCATGTTCTTGCCTCACCGCACGACCTCCGCCCCCCAGGTTCAAGTGATTCTCCTGCCTCAGCCTCCCAAATAGCTGGGATTACAGGCATGCGCCACCACGCCTGGCTAATTTTGTTTTGTTTTGTTTTGTAGGGTGTGAGGGTATATAGCTAGGGTTTTTTTTTTTTGGTTTTTTTTTTGTTGTTGTTTTTTGAGACGGAGTCTCGCTGTCACCCTGGCTGGAGTGCAGTGGTGCGATCTCGGCTTGCTGCAAGCTCCGCCTCCCGGGTTCATGCCATTCTCCTGCCTCAGCCTCCCGAGTAGCTGGGACTACAGGCGCCTGCCACCACGCCCGGCTAATTTTGTTTTGTATTTTTAGTAGAGACGGGGTTTCTCCATGTTGGTCAGGCTGGTCTCGAACTCCCGACTTCAGGTGATCCGCCTGCCTTGGCCTCCCAAAGTGCTGGGATTACAGGTGTGAGCCACCATGCCTGGCCAACCCTCCTGTCTTTAACATGCCCTCTTATAACTTCATACCTTCAAAACCCTAGCTGGTTGGGCGCGGTGGCTCACACCTGTAATCCCAGCACTTTGGGAGGCTGAGGTGGGTGGATCATGAGGTCAGGAGTTCGAGACCAGCCTGGCCAAGATGGTGAAACCCCATCTCTACTAAAAAATACAAAAAATTAGCCAGGCGCAGTGGTGGACGCCTGTAATCCCAGCTACTCGGGAAGCTGAGGCAGGAGAATCCCTTGAACCCTGGAGGCAGAGGTTGCAGTGAACCAAGATCATGCCACTGCACTCTAGCCTGGGCGACAGAGCAAGACTCCGTCTCAAAAAAACAAACAAAACAAACAAACAAAAAAAACCCCTAGCTATATACCTTCACACCGTACACACAAACCAAGCACCTGGAAACTCCACACCTTTCACACACTGCTACTCCCCTCACATACCCACACCGTCACATAACGCCCTAAATGCACATCCCTTGCTCCAACAAAACACCCCGCAACTCATGCCCACCCTAAGGCTCTGAGTAAACCCCACTCTTTCCCCATTTGAAATTCTCTCCCCACTTGCCTTCCTCTCTCTCTCCATTCCCACCTGGCTTCTTTCTCCTGGGAGGCTTCAAGCAGACCAGCCTCAGCAGAAGCAGCTCAGACTGGTGGGTGGGCCTGGCAGGCTAAGAAGGAGAGGAGGGGCTGGGCCAGAGAGTCCTCCCATTCCTGCCCCCTCCCACAAGCCTCCTCCTTAGCTCCAGCAGGGTCAGCTCAGTAGGGTCAAGTCCCACTACCCTCATCCCCACCCCAGCAAAGGGCTCCCTAGAAGTATCTTTCCAACCCTCTGAGGCCCCTATTTCTGGACTCCCCAGATCAGAAGCTATGAGCTCTGTAACACCACCAGTACCCCCTTGAACCCAAAACAGACTAGGGGAGAGTTAGGGGGCAGGGAGAGAACCAGCTGCAGGGAACAAAGCAGTTCAGGTTATGGGAGAAAAAGCAAGATCAGCTGAGGAAAGCTAGAAGGGCAAGTCGTCACAAAGGGGCAGGGGGGCAGCCCAGGGCACCAAGGGGAAAACTGCCCCCCTCTCTTCATGACATTTGTTAGGGCTTAGGGGGAACAGAATTGAGTCAGCCACCACCCCCCATGCCAGAACAGACAGGGCCCTATTGTCTCAGCCAAAATTCCTTCTTTCAAGGAAGAGGAGGCTCATTGTCCAGCCCTACACCCAGCTCTGGCCCACAAAGCTCAAAAGCGGCACAACGAATGCCCACCCTGACCCTCTGCCCCCTCGTCTAGCCTGGGGGTGGCAGGCGCATTCCACCCATGAGGCTGAGGCCCAAACCACTGGAGCCCTGAGCTTAACCCCCCAGTCTTGGGGACTGGGAGAGGAAGAGAATTGTCTTCAGCAGGAAAGAACCCGCAGAGAACCAGGAACCCACAAAGAATGGGCATTGAGAGAGAGCGGAAACACCAAGGGGGTCCCCACCCTAGACCAGGCATCTGGGCACCCAGGCCTCAGGCTCCGCCCCCACCCTCCTTGGGGAGCCAGGTCCCCTCCACCTGGAAATGAGCCAAGTCACACTGAGGAAATGGAACTTTATTTCCATAAATACAGGGATAACACCTATTCAAAGGTAGTTAAAAGAGGGCCTGGGGCCTCAAAGAAACTAGGCTCTCCCAGGGGGGTACTCCAACACTGATCATAGGGACTGGGGGATCCCCAAACCTGAGATGGGCCTCATAGGCCACAGATATTCCCCAACACTGACACTTCAAGAACGGAACTGTCCCCATAGGGGAGCCTCAGAACCCCACTCTCATGGGTAGTCCCTCTTAGGAGTTGGGAGGGCTGATGTCAGGGGACTTTAGAGAAAAAAGGGAACATGGGGAGGAGAGAAGCTAAAAATGTCCTGAGTGGCCTGGAAGGAGACCCCTGTGGTGGGCAGGGGGTGGGTTCTCCACCCATACAGCCAGATACGGAGGAGCAGCAGCAGCAAAAGCAGCCACAAGTTAAAAACATGGTTTCTCACTTCCCAACTTCGGCCTTGAGAGAAAGGGACAGCACGGAGCAATCCCCCAAATGAGAGGACATGAGGTAGGGGAGGCCTGGAATTGTCATTCATGGAGGAGCAGAGGAAGGGGGTTCTGGGAGGCCAAGTCTCTACTAAAACCCCGTCTCTACTAAAAATGGGGGATAATATGGGAGCAATGAGGTGGTCACAGGCACACCAAAGCCTGACATCTGCTTTCCAAGGCCACCACTTGGTCTCTGGACCGAGGAGTTCCTGGGGACCCCTGAATATATCCTCAGGAGAGCCAAGGTTCAATGCAGGTCTCATAAAGGGTACGGTTGGAGTGCCAGGCTGTGTGGGAGATACCGGCCATTGGACACCTCACTATGGCCCCCCGGGCCAATAGAGTCTTCAACCCAAAAGAATCCCGCAGATAAACCTTCAAGGTGGTCGAAGGGGCGTGGAAGCATGGAAGAGAGACACAAGGAGAGACAAAGTGAGTTACTGCTGGGATCCTGGACCTCCTCCCCACAGGGTGAACCCTTCAGCTCAGGAGTCACAGAGAGGGCTCTGGAATAAGGTGGGACAGCGGCTAGAAGGGGAAGTAATCCCAGGGGGCTCACCAGTTGCTCCTCCATCTCCAGGACGGTCTCATTTGCATCATAGAAACCAAAGAAGCTACAAAGAGATTTGGGGGGAGGTTATCAGAAGAGCTGGAGAAAATCTGGCCGGGCGCAGTGGCACACGCCTGTAATTGCAGCACTTTGGGAGGCCAAGGAGGGCAAATCACCTGAGGCCAGGAGTTCAAGACCAGCCTGACCAAAATGGTGAAACCCCATCTCTACTAAAAATACAAAAATTAGCTGGGCATGGTGGCAGATGCCTGCAAGCCCAGCTACCCAAGAGGCTGAGGCAGGATAATTACTTGAACCCGGGAGGTGGAGGTTGCATTGAGTCGAGATCGCACCACTGCACTTCAGCCTGGGTGACAGAGCGGGACCCCATCTCAAAAAGGAAAGGAAAGGAAAAAGGAAAGAAAAAAGAAAAGGAAAAAAGAAAGGAAGAAATCAAGGTGGGCTAAGGTCCCAAAGGAACCCAAGGCCTACTGGGGAGACAGGTAGCAGGGAGGACACTCAAAACTACCTTACTGGATATAATGTACTTCATGAGGTGATACACTGAAGATACGACCTCACTTCTGTAGAAACCCCATCAAAAATGCATTACTGGCCGGGCGAGGTGGCTCACACCTGTAATCCCAGCACTTTGGGAGGCCAAGGCCGGCGGATCACCTGAGGTCGGGAGTTCAAGACCAGCCTGGCCAACGTGGTGAAACCCCATCTCTACTAAAAATACAAAATTAGCTGGGCGTGGTGGCTCAAGCCTGTAATCCCAGCACTTTGGGAGGCCGAGGAGGGTGGATCATCTGAGGTCAGGAATTCGAGACCAGCCTGGCCAACACGGAGAAACCCTGTCTCTACTAAAAATACAAAATTAGCTGGGCGTGGTGGGCGCCTGTAATCCCAGCTACTCAGGAGGCAGAGGCAGGAGAATTGCTTGATTCTGGGACGCAAAGGTTGCAGTGAGCCGGGATGGCGCCACTGCACTCCAGCCTGGCGACAGAGTGAGACTTTGTCTCAAAAAAAAAAAAAAAAGAGGCCAGGTGTGGTGGCTCATGCCTGTAATCCCAGCACTTTGGGAGACCAAGGAGGGTGGATCACCTGAGGTCAGGAGTTCAAGACCAGCCTGGCCAACATGGAGAAACCCCGTCTCTACTAAAAATACAAAATTAGTTGGGCATGGTGGTGGGCGCCTATAATCCCAGCTACTCAGGAGGCTAAGACAGGAGAATCACTTGAACCTGGCAGGCGGAGGTTGCAGTGGGCCGAGATTTGCCATTGCACTCCAGCCTGGGCAACAAGAGTGAAACTCCAACTCAAACAAACAAACAAACAAAAAGATACTAAAGAGACGTAACAAGATCATGCAACTCAAGATCCTGATTTGGATCTTCCACTGTATATTTTTTTCTGTAAGGACAGTTGGAAAAATTTGAATAATCTGTGAGCGCATATTCAGGAAAATTTGAATCTATGTTTATATTTAAATATAACATTAACGTATATAAATAAATGTATATATATTTAGAGAAAAAAGATATTAATGTAAACATGACAAAATGTTAACATTTGCGAAATCTAGGTGAGGAGTATAAATGACTGCTTTTTGCTATTTTGGTAACTTTTTTTTTTTTTTTTGAGACAGGGTCTTACTCTGTCACCCAGGCAGGAGTGCAATGGTGAGATCTCGGCTCACTGCAGCCTTGGCCTCCTAGGCTCAAGCAATTCTCGTACCTCAGCCTCCCAAGTAGCTGGGACTACAAGGGCACACCACCACGCCCAGCTAATTTTTGTATTTTAGGTAAAGACAGGGTTTTGCCATGTTGCCCAGGCTGGTCTCAAACCCCTGGGCTCATGCCTCGGCCTCCCAAAGTGCTAGGATTACAGGCGCAAACTTTTCTTAAGTATGAAATTATTTCAAAATAGAAAGGTCTTAAAATCCTTTTTTTCTTTTTTTTTTGAGACAGAGCCTTGCTCTGTCACCCAGGCTGGAGTGCAGTGGCACCCTGTCGGCTCATTGCAACCTCCGCCTCCTGGTTTCAAGTTCTCCTGCCTCAGCCTCCTGAGTAGCTGGAACTACAGGCGTGCGCCACCAGGCCCACTAATTTTTGTATTTTTAGTAGAGATGGGGTTTCTCAATGTTAGCCAGCTGTTCTCGAACTCCTGACCTCAGGTGATCCACCCGCCTCGGCTTCCCAAAGTGCTGGGATTATAGGAGTGAGCCACCGCACCCAGCCAGATGGAGTTAAAATCTTTTAATTAAAAAATATTGGCCAGGCAAGGCCGGGTGCGTGGGCTCACGCCTATAATCCTAGCACTTTGGGAGGCCGAGGCGGGTGGATCACGAGGTCAGGAGATCGAAACCATCCTGGCTAACACAGTGAAACCCCGTCTCTACTAAAAATACAAAAAAATTAGCCGGGCGTGGTGGCGGGTGCCTGTAGTCCCAGCGACTCAGGAGGCTGAGGCAGGAGAATGGCGTGAACCTGGGAGGCAGAGCTTGCAGTGAGCCGAGATCACGCCACTGCACTCCAGCCTGGGCGACCGAGCGAAGACTCCAACTCAAAAAATATATATCTATCTATATATAGAGAGAGATATATATTGGCCAGGCGCAGTGGCTCACGCCTGTAATCCCAACACTTTGGGAGGCCGAAGCAGGCGGATCACAAGGTCAGGAGATCGAGACCATCCTGGCTAACACAGTGAAACCCCGTCTCTACCAGAAATACTAAAAATTAGCCAGGCATGGTGGTGGGCACCTGTAGTCCCAGCCACTTGGGAGGTGAGGCAGGAGAATGGCTTGAACCCAGGAGGCGGAGGTTGCAGTGAGCCGAGATTGTGCTATTACACTCTAGCCTGGGCGACAAGAACAAAACTCTGTCTCAAAAAAAAAAAAAAGGAAGAAACAGTGACTTGGAACATTAAAAATGTTATATAACCATGAGCTATCACTGTCATTCATAGGGTTGTGGTAGATGTGAAATGACATGATGTACATAAAACTCATCACTTACTATTATATTATTACAATATTTTAAGAGATGTCCTGCCTTCACTGAAAACTGTCCAGTGCCTTCCCATCTCACTCAGAATTTAAAAAAAAAAATCAAAAGCCTGGTTACCGGGACTGTCGGGAAATAGGGATGAGGATATATATATATATATATATATTTTTTTTTTTTTTTTTTTTGAGATGGAGTTTCGCTCTTGTTGCCCAGGCTGGAGTGCAATGGCGCAATCTCAGCTCACTGCAACCTCTGCCTCCCAGGTTCAAGCGATTCTCCTGCCTCAGCCTCCCAAGTAGCTGGGATTACATGCATGCATCACCACACCCAGCTAGTTTTGTATTTTTAGTACAGACAGGGTTTCTCCATGTTGGTCGGGCTAGTCTCGAACTCCCGACCTCAGGTGATCCACTGCCTCGGCCTCCCAAAGTGCTGGGATTACAGGCGTGAGCCACCACACCCAGTCTATTTTTTAATGGGTATACGGTTTCAGTTTGGGGAAAAAGAAGTTCTGGAGATGGATGGTGCTGATGGGTGATGGTTTTACAATGATGTGAGTATACTTAATGCCACAAAACTGTACATTTTTAAATGGTTAAAATGGCAATTTTATGTTATGTATATTTTATCACAAAAAAAAGAAAAAAAAATATCAAGGGCCTTACCTTGACCTGCTAAGGTTTGACATGCCTGGTCCCCTGCTACCACTTTTAGCTCCTCTCCTGTCCTCTCCCCAGCTCCTTGTGCACTAGCCATGCTGGCCTCCTTATTGCTCACACGTGCTTCAGGGCCTCTGCAGGTGCCAGACCTTCTCCCTGGGGGGTTCTTCCACCCAGAGCACAACTCCCTCCTTCACTTCCTTCAGTCTCTAATTGAATGGTGACTTTTCCAGGAGGACTTCTTCGGCCACTATTGAAACTAGGCCCCGGACATCCTCTAATCCTTTCCCCTGCCTTATTACCTGACATATATATTTGTATGTATGTATCAGCTATCTTACAAACTAGAATATAAGCTACATAACATTAGGGACTTCTCTTTTATTTACCACTGCATCCCTAGGGCCCAGAACAAGCCTGCGCCCATAATGTTGAATAAATATTTGTTGAGCAATTCAAGTAGCTCAGGTGACATTACAGATCACACATGGTGACCTATAACACAGGCAAGCACATAGTACCATGGAGCCATGGATTTTTTTCTAAGGAATAGGATGGAGGGGACAAAGCTGGAGGCTGTTATAATAGTCCAGGTAAGTAAAGAGGTGGTAGGAAATGTGATAAAATGGTATAAAACTACACACACACATTGAACCAATGTGAATTTCCTGGTTTTGATACTGTGCTATAATTACATAGGATGCAACCACTGGGGGAAGCTGGGTGAAGGGCCTCGCTATACTATCTTTGCAATTTCCTATGAATCTATAAGAATTTCAAAATTAAAAGTTTTTATAAAGTGGGGGAGGGGGTGATAGGGATGGAGAGGAGAAGAGTCAGCAGGACTTAGTGACTGGCTTGATACAAGGGGTTGGGATATGACTCCCAGGTTTTGGTCTTGGGTGACATGATGAATGGGGGGAGGAGCACTAACTGAACAGTGGAAGGAGCAGGCCAGTTTAGGCATGAGATAAAGACCAACTGGGGTTGGGGGATGTCTTTAGCCAATCTTCAGGCCACAAAATCCCTTATTACCTGGACTGCCAGGGAGTAATAACACCATCATCAGGGCCCCCAATCAGCACCAGGTGGCCCACACGCAGAAAGTTCTTCCGCCATACTGTAGGATGGGAAGAAGAGAGGCTGAGTCAGCCACAGGGGTCAGGCCAGGTTGGAGAGGGAGACATAGGGAGTCAAAGAAGCAGAAAAAGCAACACAGGTAGGAGCCTGAATTCTCACCTGTGGCATTGGGATGGTCTCTTTCCCCATTGATCAGGGCCAGGAAGCTGCTGGCATTGAGGTACAAGTCATCGTGGTGGGGATCTGGGTACAAACAGCAGTTAGAAAAAGAAGCAGAAAAGGGAGGCAAGACTGGTGGTGAAAAGCCCAATAAGGAAGCTGCAGCAATAGTCAAGGTGGATAGTAATAAAATAGTAGTGATAATGTAGGCCAGGTGCGGTGGCTCACACCTGTAATCCCAGCACTTTGGGAGGTAGAGGCAGGTGGATCACTTGAAGTCGGGAGTTTGAGACCAGCCTGGCTAACATGGCGAAACCCTGTCTCTACTAAAAATACAAAAGTTAGCCAGGCGTGGTGGTGCATGCCTGTAATCCCAGTTACTCGGGGCGCTGGAATCACTTGAACCCAGGAGGTGGAGGTTACAGTGAGCCGAGACTGCACCACTGCACTCCATCCTGGGAGACACAGTGAGACTCCATCTCAAAATAATAATAGTAGTGATAACAACCGTAAACATAGTAACAAGTACTTTTTTTTTTTTAGATGAAATCTCACTCCGTCACCCAGGCTGAAGTGCAGTGGCAGGATCTCCGCTCACTGCAACATCTGCCTCCCGGGTTCAAGCAATTCTCCTGACTCAGCATCCTGAGTAGCTGGGATTACAAGCGTGTGCCCACATTCAGCTAAATTTTTTTTGTATTTTTAGTAGAGATGGGGTTTCACCATGTTGGCCAGGCTGGTCTCGAACCCGACCTCAGGTGATGCGCCCACCTCCCCCTGCCAAGATATTGGGATTACAGGTGTGAGCCACCACACCTGGCAATAGCAAGTACTTCTATCTAGTATCTACTATATGAGCCAGGTACTATTCAAAGTACATTGCATTCATTTATTTATTTAATCCTTACAACCACCTGGTGAAGTACATGCTATAATATTTTACAGATAAGGAAAACTGAGTAACAGAATGGTTAAGTAACTTGCCCAAAGGCACCCAATAGGGTCAAGATTCAAACCCAAGTATTCTGGCCCCATGGTCTGGTCTAGAGGTTGGCAAACTGTGACCAAAGGACCAAATCCAGCCTGCTACTTGTTTTTGTAAATGAAGTTTTACTGGAACACAGGCACATTCATTCACATATGGTACATGGCTGCTTTCACACTACAACAGCAGAATTGAGGAGTTGTGAAACAGACTATATGTCCTACAAAGTCAAAAATATTTACTCTCTGGCCCTTTATAGACAAGGTTTGCTGACTCCCACATCAGACTAAACCTTCTAAGGCAATAAGGTGACACACTTAAAACATTCTGGGCCAGGTGCAATGGTTCACACCTGTAATCCCAGCACTTTGGGAGGCCGAGGCGAGTGGATCACCTGAGGTCAGGAGTTCGAGACCAGCCTGGCCAACATGGCGAAACTCCATCTCTACTTAAAATACAAAACTTAGCCGGGCATGATGGCGCCTGCCTGTAATCCCAGCTACTAGGGGGACTGAGGCAGGAGGATCACTTGAACCTGGGAGGCGGAGGTTGCAGTGAGCCGAGATGGTGCACTGCACTCCAGCCTGGGCAACAGAACAAGACTCCGTCTCAAAAAAAAAAAAAATTCTGAACAGAGCCTGTTCAAATAACTCAATAAATGTAAGTTATCTTTATTGTCATCACTGCTATTGGTTGTAGCAGAGGTGGAAGCAACTGACCTGATCCATGGAAGCCCCAGTTCAGCATCCCCACTCACCATGCCAGTAGTTGCAGATGGAGAATTCCTGGCCCCAGGGGCTATAGCAGATCCGATAGAGGTTAGACCGCATGGAGGTGGGGAACAGCCACTTCAAGTAGTCCGTGTCTGGCAAGCGAATGGCAATGCTAAGTGACCATAAACCTCTGTTCCCCCAAAACTCAGGGCATTCTATGGAGTCTAGTGCCCACTCACCTCCATACTGTCCCATCTGTGGAGAGGAGAGGGAGATGAAAGAATCCACGTTGTGATCATCCATGACAGAAAGCAGAGCCCGGCACACAAGGCCCCCTGTAAGCAGAACACCACATTGGGCAGGCACTTAAGGACAGCAAAGCCAGCAGCACCCCCCACCCCCACCACACACACACACACAGAGACACACACAGACATACACTGTACACAAAGGAGACTGAGGCTTACAGAAGGCAGGCACACCCTGTGCCAAAAGGTCACACATCATATAAGTGACTGAGCCCGAATTAGATGCTGGGCCTCCTGCCTCTAGTTCTAGGATGTTTTTACCTGCCCCATTAGCCCTTATGTCCAAGAACCATGGGTAACAGGAAGCAAAAGGGCAGCAGTGTAGGGAGCCTCCCTCCCATTCAAGACAGAGATGAGACCCAGGTGCTGAGGGAAGTCAGAAAGGAAGGGCTCAGGTACCAGGGTTGTGCCTGGAGCAATGTGGTTCAGAAAAAGGGACGCTAGGAAGTGTCCCTCAGATAAGGATCAAGCCTCAGATAGGGCTTAGGAGTTAGGGGCAGGGGAGTCGCCTACCCTGCGAGTAGCAGATGAGATGCACCCCTTGAGGGGCCTTTGCCATGATGGGGACCACAGCCTCTCGGAACCCTTGCACCTGTTCCCACAGGGGTCGCAAGCTCTCTCTCCCATCGAAGAGATCGAGCACTGTCACCACAGTCCCGGGGTGTGTCTGTGGGAAGGGGGCAATGCAGCCACCGGGGATAGGCTAAGAAGCTCCCACACGCCACCCCCTGGCCCGCGTCCACAGGTCTATTGTACCCTGCTAGAACCAGGGATCCCGTCCCCCAACTCTCCCCCACGCCAGCACCAGCTCCCTGAGGAACTGGGCAGGCCCAGAGGGGTGGCTTTCAGTTCCCCGCTCTCCCTCCCCTGCCACAGTAGACGCCTCTAACGCCCTGCACCCAGGTGTCCCCTGCCAGACCTCATTGATGTATTCCAGCAGGTGGCGGAAGCTGTACGAGCTGTCGAAGAGCCCATGCACCACGATGACCGGCTTGTAGGACGCGCGGTGGGGCGCGGGGGCTGCAAGCAGCAGCAGCGGCAGGAAAGGCAACAGAAGCAGGACCCACGCCGCGGGGAGCCGCTGCCCCCAGAGCCCCAGCATGCTCCCGCCTGAGAAAGGGGTGATAAGGGCATGTGAGGGAGATGGCAACACCCTCCTCCCTCGGAACAGACGCCCGGCAATCAAGCCACCTCCTCTCGCTCCCACACCAGGTCCGTGTCACAAAATAGCCTACTTTTAACTTACTCCAGCCCTCTCCCTACAAACACACCCCCCCACCACGTTGACGCACCAACGCGCACCCGAAGTCCCGCCTCCAACTCAGCGTTCGGGGGACTTGTTCTCTAGGTCCAGGATCTTCCTAATGCATCGCCTCAGCCATGAACAACGCGGAGTTCTTTAATACCCGTGAGCAGCAGCCCAGGCCCCTTGAAGAGTGCAGACTCCCACCTGGCCTGGGTCCGTAGGCCTCGCTCCACCCGCTGTTTACTTATCCCAAGTCTGGAACCCACGGTGGCGGGGGGAAGGGTGAGGAAAGAGAACGCAGGGGAATGACGGATGGGAGGGGGAAGGGCGGGCTGCTTGGGGTCGCGCAAATCCGTCA
The DNA here is from genome assembly GCF_000001405.40 of Homo sapiens. Taxonomy (NCBI): domain Eukaryota; kingdom Metazoa; phylum Chordata; class Mammalia; order Primates; family Hominidae; genus Homo; species Homo sapiens. Next base: position 3,459,093 of record NT_167246.2, on the reverse strand, counting down.
CGTCCGGGGCTTTCTCTGGCAACCGCGCGAGCGTTCCCCGCAACACAGACCCAGGACAGGAGGGGCAATGGAATATTCCATTGCGCCCTAGGTGCTGGGGAGGAAACAGGCGGAGCGATCCATTTAGGCCAGTGGGGAGAGGAAAAAGCAGCAAACATATTCTGGGAATGGAAAGAAGGCCTCTCCAGGCTTCGTTGCCCCCAGCGACCCGAAAGTCCGATTTCCCCGCCTTGATTCTCCCCACTTCCCAATACAGGCGTCTGGCTCCGCAGCAGAACACGAAGTTTGCATTCCCCAAGGGGCGGCCAGGGGGCGGACCAGGGAAAGGTAGTCCTCTGCATTTTGCCGTGTGCTGGGTGAGTGGCAGGGTGGCCTGGAGGGCTGATGCCAGCCCGGGCGTGCCCCTCAACACCCACCCCACCCCACCCTCCAGTCCGCCCCAGGTCAGCGACTTACAACTCTTCATTCTGAAGTGCGTGTAGTGCCCTTGTCTCCAGAGACGCAGAGAGTCCTCGAGGCCCCTTGAGCTAAGTGCAGCCTGGCCCAGTTTCTCCTGCCCTACTCTACTCCCCTCCCTATAAGCGACCCACCCTCAAGGGGCGGAGGGCGCGTAGGGATGCGCTGACTCATGCCCGCGTAATTTCGACCAGTCTTTCAACCTGAACGACCCCCAGAATCTGGCTGTCTGAGTTATCTGTGGGTGGCTCCCTACCGAAACCCCCAGGCGCCCCACCTCTCCGCCTGTGACCCCTAACCGACACCCTAGTGCCTCAGGGCTTTTACTTGCTAGGGCTTTTACTTAGCATTTAAAGACGTTTCTCTAGAGATAAGGATTTCTCAGCATGTCTGAGCCCCTCTCTCTGTTTACAAGGTCATTGCTTGGTCTAAATTTGTCTCAATCAAAACATTTTTGCGCTCAGAATGGTGTAGAGTGACGATGAGGTGGCGGTAAGGGGTTGAGCGCTCACGCGAACGCCTAAGTGACCAGAACGACTGGTGTGAAGCCGTGATCTGACTCTGTGGAGCCTGGGACTGGTTTCAGCGAGAGCCTCTGTACTGCTCTGTAGTCTCTGCTAGGACATGGACGAAAAGGGACGCAGCCGGGAGAGCGACTGCCCCAGGTGGGGGCTGGGGGGACGTAAGGGAAGAATAATGATTATCTGGCTGTGTTTTTGTTTAAAAAAAAAAAAAAACTGGTGTAAATCTCCATAGACTTCCTATCCTCGCTCCCTTCACCCACCCACGCGCTCCCAAGATGCAATAAGCAAATAAAAAGACTAATAACGCTGTACTGCAGGTCGACTCAGGAGCTGGAGATGCGTCTTGGTGGGAGGTGGTGGGTGGGAGTAGGGGGGTTTAGGGAATGGATCTGAACATTGACCAGCCCAGAGACTCTAAGCAGCCTCAAAAGCAAAGGGAAAGTGGGGGAACAAGCACACATTACCAACAGAGCTGCCAGAAATGAGCAGTTAAGTCATACCCCCTACCCCCTCCAAAAGAGCTTCAGCTCCTTAGTCCTGGACGAAGAAGGTATGTATGCACACCGCCCAAACTCTCTCTCCCTTTTCCCTCCAAGGCCCAGCTCCCCCTGATTTACAGACCTGGGCCTCCCTCTTTACTGCTAGGTTGGTAGGTTCACCAAACCCTGGGAACTTTTCAGACCATCGCAGTTCTGAACTCTGCACAATTCTCTCTCACACACAAGTATTTATCTCTTCTAAAGAGGAGGAAACTGGGGCCAAGGATTTGGGAGAAGACCCTGGCACCTTGCAGGGAGCTAAGAGGGGGAGACGACCTGCCTCTGGAGGCACCTGGGTTATTAACTCCACTGAGAACCTGTTCACTTCCTCCCACAATACAATCACTGAGTCTTGGTGGGGGAGACTCCAGAGAGTTCTCCTTCCTTCCTTTCCTTAGTCCCACCCGCCTCGCCTGGTCTAGCCTCCGTGTTTCCATGACAACTCCAAAGGAGCCCAAACTGGGGGCTTGAATGCCGGGGTAAGAGGAGGAGAGAGGTGGTCCGAGAGCAGAGAGAGACCGAGTGGGAAACATCTGAAGCGCTCCCCCTCCCTCGCCTCGGTCCCTTTAAGCTCCCCCCCTCCCCGCTCTCCCTCCGCCCGCCCCCCCCGCCCCCCCCCCCCGCCGCTGCCTTCATCTCTCCATCTCTGCGCTGCTGCCGGCTGCGCCATCCAGCACCCAGACTCCAGCACCGGCCGAGGACCCCCACTCCGGCTGCAGGGACCCTGTCCCAGCGAGACCGCAGGCATGTCATCCGAAAAGTCAGGTAAAAACAATAACAAAACCTCCCACCCCCTCCACTGTCTCCAGACTCTCCGTCCCCCTTGCCCCAACCCCCTCCCTTACCCCTCCTCAGCTGTGGTTCTATTTCATTCCCCTTCTCTCCAGCTCTCAACACTCCCCCAGTCCCCCTCCTCTTTCTGTCTCCCCCTTTCTCTTCCTTTCCTCTTTCCAGTGGCAGCCTCTGCCCCTTGCCAACAACATGGTCAGGGGGGTAGGTTGAGAGGGTGAAGGAGGTACAGCCAGGTTTTGCAGGGATGGCATCATTGGGAGTGACAGATGGACAATCACTGGCTGGCATGGAGACATCCTGTGAGGAAATATGGAGACATGACCAGATGGGGGTTGTCAAGGGAGCAAAATCCAGAGGGCTCTTCTTAATCTGCCCTAAAAGAGGTCCCGAGATTCTCACAGAGGCTGGGGCACTCCTCCCCCCACTGAAGGAACAGCAGAGTGGAACACATGTCATCCCACATGTGTTTATACAACTGTTGAATTGAGCACATATTAACACAGGGTTGCATGTCTACGCATACGCACACACAGGACTAGCTCGGATAGGCCAGCCCAAAGGCAGCTATAGCAAAGGAGAGGGGATTAGGTCTGCAGGTGAGAGCTGGGTGCATGGTGATGAAAAAGACAGAAAAGAAGCAGACCAGAGTTGTGACCTCAAAACTAGATTGGAAGGAAGAAGGAGGGGGGCAGATGGCCTAGATACAGCCCCTCTCTTGCCCCTCAAATTAGAGATGGTTTCTCACCCGTCTCTCTCTATGTGTCTCTCCCATTATCTTTCTCCATCCCTGACCGGCTGTGTTTCCCCTTACCCCCTCCTCAACTCATCACTGTGTCATCTTTCCTCTTATACTCTCCTCCACTCACCTCCCCCAGGACTCCCAGACTCAGTCCCTCACACTTCTCCGCCGCCCTACAATGCCCCTCAGCCTCCAGCCGAACCCCCAGCCCCACCGCCACAGGCAGCCCCTTCCTCACACCATCACCACCACCACCACTACCATCAGTCTGGCACCGCCACCCTCCCGCGCTTAGGGGCAGGGGGCCTGGCCTCTTCCGCGGCCACCGCTCAGCGCGGTCCCTCCTCCTCTGCCACGCTGCCGAGGCCCCCCCACCACGCCCCTCCCGGCCCTGCTGCCGGGGCACCCCCACCCGGCTGCGCTACCTTGCCCCGCATGCCACCCGACCCTTACCTGCAGGAGACTCGCTTCGAGGGCCCACTTCCCCCGCCGCCGCCCGCTGCCGCCGCCCCGCCCCCGCCGGCGCCAGCCCAGACTGCCCAGGCCCCTGGCTTCGTGGTGCCCACGCACGCGGGGACTGTGGGCACGCTGCCGCTGGGGGGCTACGTAGCGCCCGGATACCCCCTGCAGCTGCAGCCTTGCACTGCTTACGTGCCGGTCTACCCGGTGGGCACGGTGAGTGCCGGGCAGACAGGGACATGGGAAAGAGGGGGACGCGATACAGGACTTGAAATTGGGGATACGCTGGGGGCTGGTAGGATAGAGGAACAAGGGCAGGGAACAGGTAGTGTTCCCGGGACAAGCCCTAGAAAGAAGGGAGCCTGAGACAGGAAGGACTAGGGAGAGACACGGGAGTAGGAGTCTACTGGTGCCCAGAGTCAGGGCCTGGGAGGGGGATCGGAGCCTAGAGGTTCAGAGGAGGTCTGAAAGTAGGAAACCGCCTGGCGGGGGACGGGGGGAATGGAAGCTGGGAACCAAGAGGGATGTGGGAGAAGCCTGGGACTAAGGGGGTAGGGGAGGCCTGGTAGGTGTCTGGAGGGAAGAAAGAAGGTCTGACCTGAGGCCAGGACAGCCCCAGTGGGACCATACCTTGCGGGAGAGAATGTAGAAAGCCCAAGAATATGGTGGTTAATGAAGCAAGGAAGGGAGGAGAGGGGCTTAGGTGGAATTTATGGGTGTCCTGGAAGGGTAATGGGTGCTTTATTTTGAGAAGCCATAGGTAAAAATTGTGCTTTTAAAGCCACTCTGCCAGCCGCCCAACGCTGGTAGGCTGGGAGAGGGTCAGAGTGATGCCCCTGCCCCCCAAATTTCCTTCCACAGCCATATGCAGGCGGGACCCCGGGGGGAACAGGAGTGACCTCCACTCTCCCCCCGCCGCCCCAGGGCCCAGGGCTGGCCCTACTGGAGCCGAGGCGCCCGCCACACGACTACATGCCCATCGCGGTGCTGACCACCATCTGTTGCTTCTGGCCTACTGGCATCATTGCCATCTTCAAGGCCGTGCAGGTAGGGGGCAGGGGCATACTCGGTTTGGGGGCGGGGACAGGGAGTTCTGGGCGTTCTGGGGACCATCTTAGAGAAAGGCTGAGGCGTTCGAACGAGGCCGCAGCTCTTTGACCTCCTTCCCCCACCCCTCCTCCGTAGGTGCGCACGGCCTTGGCCCGCGGAGACATGGTGTCGGCCGAGATCGCTTCACGCGAGGCCCGGAACTTCTCCTTCATCTCCCTGGCCGTGGGCATCGCGGCCATGGTGCTCTGTACCATCCTCACCGTAGTCATCATCATCGCCGCGCAGCACCACGAGAACTACTGGGATCCCTAAAAACGCCCCTGGTCCGGCCCCACTCTGCGCCCCTCGATCTCCCAGGCTCTTTCTGCAGTCATACCGCGGACCCAATGGGCGCCCTGCACACCCGTTTCTGGGGCCGTCAGACTTGGATACATCGTAAACTCCGCCTCCACGGAACGTCTCGCCTTGCGAGCAAGCTCGGAATCCAGTTCCTCAGGAACCCCTCCAAAACCCACACCCCCAGGGACGCCGCTTTCCGGGATCCCGGCCAAACGCCGGACCCTCAGTCGCTCCAGGCCCCCTCACCCTCAAAGTGTAGCGCCCCCAACCGAGCAACCTCGGTTTGGTCCCTAAAACCCCGCCTCCTCTATAAGCACCGCCCCAGCTCTGACAAAACCCCGCCTCCAGGTCGGCAGGCTCCGCCTTCTTTTCTTCTCCGCGGGGTGATTCAGTCCAGTGATTGGGTTTGTGGCTCCAGGCCTCGCCCACAGACGGACAGACCCCTCCCTTTCTTCCGGCAAAAGGACCGAGCCCTGGGGTAGTAAGGCCCCCACACTCCTGTTTTTTGCAAGTACATTTTTGTCCCTCCTCCACCCAGGTATCTGCCTATTTTCTTGCTAATCCCAGAACCTTTCCTTTTGCTTTTTTTAAGGACATTTGGGAAGTTCCTGGTGTAGGACCCTTCTCCCTGGGATAAGAAACCTGCCTGTAAACGCTCTGTAAATACTCCCTTCCACCCATCCCAGCCCCTGGGCAGCCGGGCAGAAGGGAATCCAGGCTATGGACCTCCCAAGTCCCCGCTCCCCGCTCCCCTCGGCGGCCCCGCCTTGTTCTGATCTGTGTGTGAGTGTGTGTGAACTTCTGAAAGACAATATTAAAGAGACTTAGTTGATTTATCGCCCGCAATTCCAAAGACTGCGGCCCCGCAAAGACCCTCCCCACTTTTGATTCCGCCTTTCACTTCCCTTCATCTCCTCTTCCAAGGAAAAAAAAAGAAAACCCGACAGAGACTAACGTGAGGGACACAGATTCCCAGATCGCCAGAGAGACACGTGAATATGGGGGACGGAGGGGAGCTCCCTGGGAATCCACCAAGGAAGACCTTGGGGTCCATTCTCAGTGAGGCTTTATTTTCTTAGTGAGGCTTTATTTCCCCAGTACCCCTTTTCCATTCCCTACTATCCCCAGAACTCCAGGAAGACAAGAGAACAGAGAGGGCAGACCATGGTGAAGAAGCTGGTCAAGGATAGAGTGATGGGGGCCAAGAAGAGATGCCAGCTGCCCATAGCTGTTCCTGACTGTGGGCTGGAGGGTGGCAGATAACTTGGATTAGAGCCCCACATGCTGGACTGTAGGGGGTATAGGAAAGGCAAAGAGAGCAGATTGCTGTGGGAGCCCAGGGAGGAGGTCAATGGCCTCTCAAGTCTCCCTGGGACTAGTTGCCCTCTCCTATCCTGAGGTCAACCAATAGGCCTCTTTTCTGAGGGGAGTGGTGATTAGGGGATGCTGCCAGCAGTGGGCTTGGGTCTTTGGTTGTACACCCACAGGACAGGGTCCTAACCTAATTTATGCATTTATGCAACATGCAGACTCCATGCTGGATGCTGGTGAGACATCCACCCAGACAGCAGGTGTGACCCCTGACCTCATGGAGCTTACAATCTAGAAGGGAAGCCATGCACTGAGATAGGAAATGTGATAGGAGATGTGGGAGGAGGGTGGGGTGAGGTGTGAATATCATGGGTTCGCCCTTGGATGTTTCGCATTTAATGTGCCTACCTTACCAAACTTCTTGAAAAACAGAATTCACGGCTGGGCACGGTGGCTAACACCTGTAATTCCAGCACTTTGGGAGGCCAAGGCAGGCGGATCACTTGAGGTCAGGAGTTCGGGACCAGCCTGGCCAACATGGTGAAACCCCATCTGTACTAAAAATAATAAATTAGCCGGGCATGGTGACGGGCACCTGCAGTCCCAGCTACTTGGAAGGCTGAGGCAGGAGAATCGCTTGAACTTGGGAGGCGGAGGTTGCAGTGAGCCAAGATCAAGTCATTGCACTCCAGCCTGGGCAACAAGAGCGAAACTCCATCTCAAAAAAAAAGGGGCAGGGGGGTGCGGAATATTGCTATCAGAGATATGTCTGTATCTGTCTTTTTTTCATACCCACTATTTCTTGACTTATTGGAATATGCATCCACACCCTATTCTCCTGAAACCTCCCTCTCAAATGGCAACCAATTACCCAGATCCCAAATCAATGGCATTTTCACAGTATTCTGCCTCTCTAAGCCCTCCCATGTTTGTCCCTTGACCCTGAATTCCCCACATACCCAGGTTCAAGAACGTATTACCTCCCTTCCCCCGACACACACACAGACCTCTAACCATTCCGCCTCTGCCTTCCCTCCTTGCTTTTTCTCCTCCCTTCCCCTAAGTGTCCATCTCTGATTTTTTTTCCTTCTCTGAGACTTTCCTTTGAAAAGCTCATTCACTCAACTCAGCTAATCAAATGCTTTTCCAACCTGTATTTTACATGCAGACGTTTTTTCCAGTGCCTGAAGATCATAGCCACATGGAAGATGCTTGCTGGTCCTCTAAAATCAACACATTCCAAAACAAACTGATGAAATGCCACAGAAAACCTGCTTCCCTGTCTCTGTTAATAGACCATTTTCCCAATCACTCTTCCTTATCTAGAAATTTGCCGCCTCCTCCCTCTCCCTCCTGCCTTATTTTTGGTGTGCTCTCAAGCCTAGTCAGTTCTGCCACCACAATGTCTTTTGAATCTGTAATTTTTCCCCAGCCCTTGCTGGAAAAATTACCTCATTAGGATTATTGCATCAGCTTTCCCAACAGGTCTCCCTACTTCCTACTTCTCCCTACCTCAAGTCTCCCTCCACACTATTGTCAGATCAGCCTCCCTAAACACACTTTCATAACTCCACTGCTCAAAAGCCCTTCAAGGTTCCCTATTGCCTACTCAATTATTTACAAAATTTTAATCTGGCCTTTAACACCTTCCATAATTTAAAATCATCCAGCTTCTCTGTTCATTCTAATTTCTAACCATACTGAATTACTCATCATTCCCACCTCCAGGTATTTGCCCAGCTGTTCCCAAATCTTAGACCTCCTTCCCAAATCTCTGCCTATTATAAACCAAATTGTTTGCAGCTTGTCACAAATTTCAGAGGCTTTAGACCACATCTAGGCTCTTGCTCATGATGTTCTCCCCCTCTTGACATCTGCCTCTCTACTTGGTCAAATTTTATTTACAATATCTTTCAAAGTCCGGATCAATTCATCCCTCACTGTAGCAAAAAGGTGTCTCTCTTTCCTCTGGGTTAGATTAAAGCAGTGGGTTTCCAAACAGAGCTTCAGGCATTCCTTGGAGCAACGGTTCTTACCCCAGGTTACACATTAGAATCCACTGGGGAGCACTGAAAAATCTGAAAGCCCATGTCGCATCCTAAAACAATTAAATCAGAATCTCTGGGCTCAGTGCCAGTGGCTCACACCTGTAATCTCAGCACTCTGGGAAGTCGAGGCAGGAGGATCGTTTAAGCCCAGGAGTTCGAGACTAGCCTGGGCAATATGGTGAGACCCCATCTCTACAAGAAAGTTTAAAAACTAGCCTAGGCCAGATCGAGACCATCCTGGCTAACATGGTGAAACCGCGTCTCTACTAAAAATACAAAAAAATTAGCTGGGTGTGGTGGTAGGTGCCTGTAGTCCCAGCTACTCAGGAGGCTGAGGCAGGAGAACGGCATGAACCCGGGAGGTGGAGCTTGCAGTGAGCCGAGATCGTGCCATGCACTCCAGCCTGGGCAACAGAGCGAGACTCCGTCTCAAAAAAAAAAAAAAAAAAAAAATTAGCCTAGGCCGAGCGCGGTGGCTCACACATATAATCTCAGCACTTTGGGAGGCCGAGGTGGGTGGATCACCTGAGGTCAGGCGTTCAAGACCAGCCTGGCCAACGTGGTGAAACCCCGTCTCCACTAAAACTGCAAAAATCAGCCGGGTATGGTGGCACATGCCTGTAATCCCAGCTACTCAGGAGGCTGAGGCAGAAGAATCGCTTGAACCTAGGAGGCGGAGGTTGCAGTGAGCCCAGATTGCACCACTGCACTCCAGCCTGGGTGGCAGAGAGGCACTCAGTCTCAAAAAGAAAAAGAAAAAAAAAATTTAGCCGAGCCCCATGGCTCACCTGTAGTCTTAGCTACTTGGGAGGGTGAGACGGGAGGATTGCTTGGGCCTGAGGGGCAGAGGCTTCAGTGATCAGAACACGGTGCTCCAGCCTGGGCAACAGAGTGAGACCCTATCTCAAAACAAACAAAAAAGAATCTCTGGGGGTGGAACTCTGGCATCAGTATTTAAGACATAACCAGGTGATTCCAAAGGGCAGCCAAGGTTGGGAATCACAGGTTTACAGACACTTTAAGGACCACCCAGGGAGAATGGAAAGGCCAAAAAATGACTTCAACCCGGGCAATTTTCTTTAGGAGAAAAGTATCTAGATCTAAGATTCATGTTATCTGCATATTTTCTCATCTCTTCCCACCTGATATCTTGACATACACAGTTTACCTTGTGAGCTACTTGAAGGCAAGAGTCAAATCTGGCTTATCTCTGTTTTTCAGATCCTCATCAGATAAAACCTCCTCTACCAATCTTTGAACTCAATTGAATTGAAAGGAATCAGGCAAAGGGAGAGATGAATAAAAAATGACTTAGCTTTCTTTTGCTTTTCCTTAGGAATGTTTGTTTCTTAATCTCAGATCTCTTAACCTCACCCAGACTCCTCCCTCATGAGGAAATAAAATGTTACAATGTGTGGCCGGGCGCGGTGGCTCACTCCTGTAATCCTAGCACTTTGGGAGGCCGAGATGGGCGGATCACGAGGTCAGGAGATCAGGACCATCCTGGCTAACACGGTGAAACCCCATTTCCACTAAAAATACAAAAAATTAGCTGGGTGTGGTGGCAGGCACCTGTAGTCCCAGCCACTTGGGAGGCTGAGGCAAGAGAATGGTGTGAATCCCGGAGGCAGAGCTTGCAGTGAGCCGAGATTGTGCCACTGCACTCCAGCCTGGGCAACAGGGCGAGACTCCGTCTCAAAAAAAAAAAAAAGTTACAATGTGATCCTCTTCCTATCTGACTCACCTCCCTCTGCAGGTGATACCCTTGGCTGTGGCACCTCTACTGACAGAGACTCCATCCTCTAGGAGAGGCTCTGCCCTCCCATAACATCTGTATGGGTGCTCTCATACAGATGGGGGAAAACCATGATTAGATTCTGGGTCATCATTCCCCCTCTACAATGGAAGATTCAGCACCTGATCACTCTACTTCCACCGCTCATTTCATTTTCTTCTTTTTATTATTTATTTATTTATTTTTGAGATGGAGTTTTGCTCTTCTCGCCCAGGCTGGAGTGCAGTGGCGCAATCTCGTCTCACTGCAACCTCCGCCTCCTGAGTTCAATAGATTCTCCTGCCTCAGCCTTAGTAGGTGTGATTACAGGCATCTGCCACCACGCCCAGCTAATTTTTGTATTTTTACTAGAGACAGGGTTTCACCATGTTGGCCAGGCTGGTCTTGAACTCCTGATCTTAGGTTATCTGCCTACCTCGGCCTCCCAAAGTGCTGGGATTACACACGTGAGCCACCGAGCCCAGCCTCTTTTTCTTTTTTCTTTTTTTTCTGAGGCAGGGTCTCGCTCTGTCACCCAGGCTGGAGTGCAGCAGCAGGATCATAGCTCACTGAGCTTCGATCTCCCGGTCTCAAGTGATCCTCCCAGCTAATTTTTTTTATTTTTATTTTATTTTTTTTTTTTGAGATGGAGTCTGGCTCTGTCGCCCAGACTGGAGTGCAGTGGCACAATCTCAGCTCACTGCAACCTTGCCTCCTGGATTCAAGCAATTCTCTGCCTCAGCCTCTGAGTAGCTAGGATTACAGGCGCCTGCCACCACGCCCGGATAAATTTTGGGTTTTTTTTTTTTTTTTTTTGAGACAGAGTCTCACCCTGTCGCCTAGCCTGGAGTGCAGTGGTGCGATCTCGGCTCACTGCAAGCTCTGCCTCCCGGGTTCATGCCATTCTCCCGCCTCCCACCTCAGCCTCCCAAGTAGCTGGGACTACAGGCACCCGCCACCATGCCCAGTTAATTTTGTTTTTGTATTTTTAGTAGAGACGGGGTTTCACCGTGTTAGCCAGGATGGTCTCAATCTCCTGACCTGGTGATCCGCCCTCCTCACCCTCCCAAAGTGCTAGGATTACAGGCTTGAGGCACCGCCCCTGGCCTGTTTTTTTGTTCGTTTGTTTTTGTTTTTTTTGGACGGAATTTTGCTCTTGTTGCCCAAGCTGGAGTGCAATGGTGCCATCTCAGCTCACTGCAACCTCTGCCTCCCAGGTTCAAGCGATTCTCCTGCCTCAGCCTCCTGAGTAGCTCGGATTACCGGCGTGTGCCACCATGCCCGGCTAATTTTTTGTATTTTTAGTAGAAATGGGGTTTCACCATATTGGTCAGGCTGGTCTCAAACTCTTGACCTCGTGATCCACCCGCCTCGGCCTTCCAAAGTGCTGGGATTACAGGCATAAACCACTGCGCCTGGCCTCTGGCCTTTGATATTTAATAGAGATGAGGTCACACTGTGTTGCCCAGGACAGTCTCGAACTCCTGAATTCACACAATCTGCCTGCCTCAGCCTCCCAAAGTGCCGGGATTATAGGCATGAGCTACAGTGCCTGGCCCCGTTTTATTATTTTTGTTTTCAATGTTCATGCAGATTCTCTAGCACCCTGCCCTTCTCTTGCAGTGATTTATTTCTCCCTGCTTCCCTCTCGCCCTATGTCATACCTTCAACTTGGTTGCCACCAATACCTACTGCCCTTCTAAAATCTCATCCTCAGTCTTTTCATGTTGCTCCCCAGTACCCCTATCCCAAAAATTCTTCAACCCCATCTGGGCCTCCCATCCACTAACTTACTTTTCATTGTTTGATCTCAATTCTTCACTTTCCTCATTACCCAGTTTAGATTCCAAGGTTCAACACGGTAATCGCCTCTCAGCCCTCACCCTGTACTCCTGGCCCCCCTTCCTCTGGCACATTTTATCCCTGGTCAAATCCCACTCTGCCTGCTCCACACCTGCATTCAACAGCTGGGGAGAAACACACAGTCATACTGACTGGTCTTGCTTCCTGCGGGCCCTCAGTGTGGCATGCCAGCTCGCCTTTCCCTACTCAGTTCACATTCCCCAAATCTGAGACCACAACTTCACAAGATGATGACTTTTCTTCCTATTTCAGTGAGAAAACAGAAACTTTCAGAAGGGAACTTCCTCATGTTCCCACCCCAAATTCACCAGTCTACCTGCAACTCTACCGCAGAGAAGCTGACATGCACCCACCTGCCACCTCATCTGTACCCCGGGATCCTGTTCCCTCTCACCTGCTCAGAGATGTTATTCCTGAAATTATCCCCTATCTCTCTCTCTCTCACTTAATCAGTTTACCCCTCTGTACTGCAACACTCCCATCATTATGCAAACATGCTATAAAATTATACTTCATCTCTGAAAAGAAAGAAAAAAACTGTTTCGCTACTCACCTAGGTAGTAAAAGCACAACATTCAGAGAATGGTGCTTACCCTTTGGCAGAAAAGCAATCTGGAAAGGGAAATTCAGGGAGCCTTAACTATACTGGGGAAGATTTTACCTCTTGTTTTTGCTTTCTTTTTTTTTTTTTTTTTTTTTTGAGATGGAGTCTCCCTCTGTCACCCAGGCTGGAGTGCAATGGCACGATCTCAGCTCACTGCAACCTCCGCCTCCCGGGTTCAAGCGATTCTCCTGCCTCAGCCTCCCAAGTAGCTGGGATTATAGGCACGCACCACCACACCTGGCTAATGTTTTAGTAGAGACAGGATTTCACCATGTTAGCCAGGCTGGTCTCCAACTCCTGACCTCAGGTGATCCGCCCACCTCAGCCTCCCAAAGTGCTGGGATTACAGGTGTGAGCCACCTTGCCCTGATGGGAAGATTTTACTTCATAAGCTGCCTGATGTTCACAAAATTATTCTTTGTAATACATATATATTTATGCATATAAATTATAATTTTATATGTATAAAATAATGCATTTATTTTTAAATTTAAAAACTCTTCCCTGACCCAGCTCACTCCCTCAGTGTTCCACTTCTCTCTCCACTTAACAAAACTTCTCACTGCCTCTACTTTCTCACCTCTCATTCACTCTTGAATTTCTCTCAATCAGGCTCTCATCCCCACCACTTTACTTAAACCACATGTCAGAGTCACAAATGACCTCCAAGTTTCTAAACCCAATGGTCAAGGGTCAGTTTGTGGCAGGCCAATTCTCCCTGACAGTCACACAGACAGGCCTGCATAGCACCCCAGTTACACAGACAGATTTCCACAGCATTGCCTTAACATTGAGCAAATAGTTAAACCTAGGGGAATTGGTGTACAGACATCAAAGCTAGAAATGAAACACATGGTGAGTAAGAGCCTTGCATGGGCTTCTCCCTTGCTGGAGCAAGTCAAAATAACAGAGACAGCCTTACATTCCTAGTGCCAGGACTCGTCTCGGGTCGACGATATCTGAGACAAGTCAAGGTAACAGAGGCAGCTGTTTGAATAGATTCACTGGACAATCTAAGGCAGCTCTCCGCACCAAGCTGTAAAGGAGATAAGATAGAAATAATCACTCTGGTACCACAGTAAACAGGCCTTGAAGGTACTGGGGCCCTCACAGCTTAATCAGACTTAGCAAGAATTTTTTTGCCTCTGACCCTCTAGTTGAAACAAAATTAGTTACTGATAGACTTTGGTGAATGCCATACTGCATGTAGGCATATAACCTAAACCTGTATAAACACTAAGAAAATAGTAACACTGGCCGGGTGTGGTGGCTCACACCTGTAATTCTAGCACTTTGGGAGGCCGAGGTGGGTGGATCACAAGGTCAAGAGATCGAGACCATCCTGGCC
>NT_167246.2:3368872-3406638 GCF_000001405.40 Homo sapiens | reverse complement strand
GGCCAACTTGGTGAAACCCTGTCTCTACTAAAAAAAAAAAAAAAAAAAAGGCTGGGTGCGGTGGCTCACGCCTGTAATCCCAGCACTGTGGGAGGCCAAGGTGGGCGGATCACGAGGTCAGGAGATCGAGACCATCCTGGCTAACACGGTGAAACCTCATCTCTACTAAAAATACAAAAAAATGAGCCAAGTATGGTGGTGGGCGCCTGTAGTCCCAGCTACTCAGGAGGCTGAGGCAGGAGAATGGCATGAACCTGGTAGGCAGAGCTTGCAGTGAGCCAAGACGCACCACTGCACTCCAGCCTGGGCGAAAGAGCAAGACTCCATCTCTACAAAAAAAATGAGCTGGGCATGTGGCGCATGCCTGTATCCTAGCTACTCCAGAGGCTGAGGTAGGAGAATCACTTGAGCCCAGGTAAAATAAATAAAATGTTTATTGGCTCTTTGGCTATATTCTTTTCTGGAGTACCTGTTTGTCTTTTGACAATTTAAAAAACTAGGTTTCCTGATTTTGGCTTATTTTGTTTTGCAGAGATTTTTTTTTTTTTTTTTTTTTTTTTGAGATGGAGTTTCACTCTTCCTCTCAGGCTGAAGTGAAGTGGCATGATCTCAGCTCACTGCAACCTCCGCCTCCAGTTTCAAGCGATTCTCCTCCTCAGCCTCCCGAGTAGCTGGGACTACAGGTGCCCGCTACCACGCCCAGCTAATTTTTGTATTTTTAGTAGAGATGGGGTTTCACCATGTTGGCCAGGCTGGTCTTGAACTCTTGACCTCATGATCCGCCCACTTCAGCCTCCCAAAGTGCTGGGATTTCAGGTGTGAACCACCACACCCAGCTGCCTTCTTATTCTCTTAATGATGTAATTTGATGACCTGAAATTTTGTTTTGTTTTTTTCTTTTTCTTTTTTTTGAAACAGAGTATCAGCTCTGTTGCCCAGGCTGGAGTGCAGTGGCATGATCACAGCTCACCACAGCCTCGACCTCCCAGACTCAAGTAATCCTCCCACCTCAGCCCCTGAGTAGCTGGGACTACAGGTGTACCACCACGCCCAGTGAATTCTTTTTGTTTTTTGTAGAGACAGAGTCTCACTATCTTACCCAGGCTGGTCTCCAACTCCTGGGCTCATGCAATCCTCACACTTAAGCCTCCTGAAGTGCTGGGATTACAGATACGAGCCACTGCACCCGGCCTATGGTTAGGTTTTGTGTGTGTTTTACTTAAGAAATCTTGCGGCTGGGTGCAGTGACTCAAGCCTGTAATCCTAGCACTTTGGGAAGCCGAGGCGGGCGGATTGCCTGAGTTCAGGAGTTTGAGACCAGCCTGGCCAACATAGTGAAGCCCCGTCTCTACTAAAAATACAAAAAATAGCTGGGTGTGGGAGCAGATGCCTGTAATCCCCGCTACTCAGGAGGCTGAGGTAGGAGAATCACTTGAACCTGGGAGACGGAGGTTGCAGTGAGCCGAGATAGCACCAGTGTACTCCACTCTGGGCGACAGAGCAAGACTCAGTCTTAAAAAAAAAAAAAAAGAAATCTTGCTTACTCCAAGGTCAGAAATTTTCTGTAAGATATTGCTATGAAAGATATTGCTTTACTTTTCTTATTTAGGTCCTGGGTTCATCTCAAATTAATTTCGGTATATCAGACATAAGGTGGAGAATGACTGTTTTTTTTTTTTTTTTTTTTTTTTTACTTAGGGATGTTGGATTGACCCAGCACCAGGAACTAAAAAGACCATCCTTTCTCCTCTTAACTGCAGGGGCACTTTTGTCGTTAATTAGTTGACCACATATGTGTGGGCCTGTTTCTGGGCCCTATTCTGTTTCATCTGTCTATCCTTGCACCTTTAAAATAAGTCTTGATATTTGATCATGTAAGTCCTGAGGAAGAGGATTTTTGTTTTTTTTTTTTCAATTGGAGATATTTGAGCAAGGATCCAGTTGAGAGTGAGGAGTTGAATAAAAAAGAGAGAGAAGCCAAGCATGGTGGCTCATGCTTTTAATCCCAGCTACCTGGGAGGCTGAGGTGGGAGGATGGCTTGAGCCCAGGAGTTCAAGTCCAGCTTCAACCAGGGGGTTGAGCAAGATCCTGTCTCTATATTAGAAAGAGGTCGTGCGGTGACTCATGCCTGTAATCCCAGCACTTTGGGAGGCCAAGGCGGGCACATCACTTGTGGTCAGGAGTTCGAGACCAGCCTGCCTACATGGTGAAACCTCATTTCTACTAAAAATACAAAAATTAGCTGGGCATGGAGGTGGGCACCTATAATCCCAGCTACTCAGGAGGCCGAGGCAGGAAAATCACTTGAGCTAGGAGACAGAGGTTGCAGTGAGCCGAGATCGCACCACTGCACTCCAGCCTGGGCGACAGAGTAAGATTCCATCTCAAAAAAAAAAAAAAAAGTGAGAGAGAGAGGGAGAAGATAATCTGCACTTTTCTTAGAAGACAGTAGGAGCTGGGATCCAGGTGTTTGGGGAAGGATTGGCCCTAGGTACTCATCCACTAATTCATTCAACATTGATGTGTCAGATAGAACATTTATGTGCCAGACACAAGTATACAGCAGTCCTGGGATAGATGAGGTCCTTGTTCTCATGGAGCTCCCATTGTAGCATTGAGAGAAAGGTAATAAGTAAACTGATAACTCAGGCAGCAGTAAATGCCATGAAGAACAGGAACAGGATATTGTGATAGAGAGTAATGGAAGACTGCCCTAACTGGGAGTTAAGATTTGAAGATGGAGCCAGCCTTTATGAGCAGAGTGAAGAGCATCCCAGACATAGGGAACACACAATGCAAAGGCCCTTGGAGTAGTGAGAGCTTGTAGTGCTCGTGGGAAAAACAAAAGACCAGTGTAGAGCCGGGTGCGGTGGCTCATGCCTGTAATCCCAGCACTTTGGGAGGCTGAGGCGAGCAGATCACCTGAGGTTAGGAGTCTGAGACCAGCCTGACCGACATGGAGAAACCCGGTCTCTACTAAAAGTACAAAATTAGCCAGGCATGGTGGGGCATGCCTGTAATCCCAGCTACTCAGGAGGCTGAGGCAGGAGAATCGCTTGGACCTGGGAGGCGGAGGTTGTGGTGAGCTGAGATCGCACCACTGCACTCCAGCCTGGGCAATAAGAGTGAAACTCCGTCTCAAACAAACAAACAAAACAAAACAAAACAAAACAAAACAAAAAAACCAGTGTAGGAGAACACAATAGAAAAGGGGGTGAGGAGCAGGGTAAATAAATGATATCAGAGAGGTAGAGAACAGACTTGCCCAGGGAGGGTATCCTTTAGGGTTGGGCGGAATGTGAATTTTTACATGCATGTGAGTTGGGTAGATTACTTGTGGGTGGTGGGACCGTGGGTATGTGCTGGAGAAGGGGGGATTCATTTTGTCTCCTTTTTGAAGCTGCTCTCATACCTACCCTTTCTCCCTGCAGCCTCCTGAATGATGCCAGCCCAGTATGCTCTAACCTCCAGCCTGGTTCTCCTGGTGCTGCTGAGCACAGCCAGAGCAGGCCCCTTCTCTTCACGGTCCAATGTGACACTGCCAGCCCCCCGGCCCCCTCCCCAGCCAGGGGGCCACACAGTGGGGGCTGGAGTGGGAAGCCCCTCTTCTCAGCTTTACGAGCACACAGTGGAAGGAGGGGAGAAGCAGGTGGTATTCACCCACCGCATTAACCTGCCCCCTTCCACTGGCTGTGGCTGTCCCCCAGGCACCGAGCCCCCAGTCCTTGCTTCAGAGGTACAGGCCCTGAGGGTCCGTCTAGAGATCCTGGAGGAGTTGGTGAAGGGGCTCAAGGAACAGTGCACTGGGGGATGTTGTCCTGCCTCTGCCCAAGCTGGCACAGGTGAGCAGGTGATCACAGAAGAGGGTGGAGAGGTGGGGTGGGGTGGGCATTGCTAGTCCATAAAGGTCCTTGGTATGAATTAGAAGAAGGCACTCCTTCCTCACCATGAGGGGTGTGGATGCAGCCCAGAACACAACTTGGAGAGCAGAGCTGGGCTACATGTCAACCAAAGCATATGCGAGGGCCCTGAGAGGCTGCATACATTACACATACTAGCAACTGGGAGCAGACATGGCCTTATGAGATGAGGCTAGCCTGGCTAGGGGCCTGCACATAGGAGCACTACATAGGCTCAGCCTCTCTCCCAGGAGAGAGACTGAGACTTGCCTCTCCCCTCCTACTCCAGGTCAGACAGATGTGCGGACCCTCTGCAGTCTCCATGGTGTGTTTGATCTGAGCCGCTGCACCTGTTCCTGTGAGCCAGGCTGGGGTGGGCCCACCTGCTCAGACCCCACAGATGCTGAGATCCCTCCCTCTTCCCCACCCTCAGCCTCGGGGTCCTGCCCAGATGACTGCAATGATCAGGGTCGCTGTGTCCGTGGTCGTTGCGTGTGCTTTCCCGGCTACACTGGCCCCAGCTGTGGCTGGCCATCCTGTCCCGGGGACTGCCAAGGCCGTGGGCGCTGCGTGCAGGGCGTGTGTGTGTGCCGGGCAGGCTTCTCAGGCCCCGACTGCAGCCAGCGCTCCTGCCCTCGAGGTTGCAGCCAGAGGGGACGCTGTGAGGGTGGGCGCTGCGTGTGTGACCCAGGCTACACTGGTGACGACTGTGGCATGAGGAGCTGCCCTCGCGGTTGCAGTCAGAGGGGGCGCTGTGAGAATGGGCGCTGCGTGTGTAACCCCGGCTACACTGGCGAGGACTGTGGGGTGAGGAGCTGCCCTCGGGGCTGCAGCCAGCGGGGACGCTGCAAGGACGGGCGCTGCGTGTGTGACCCCGGCTACACTGGCGAGGACTGTGGTACGCGGAGCTGCCCCTGGGACTGTGGCGAGGGCGGGCGCTGCGTGGACGGCCGCTGCGTGTGCTGGCCCGGGTACACAGGCGAGGACTGCAGCACGCGGACATGTCCGAGGGACTGCCGGGGCCGCGGGCGCTGCGAGGACGGCGAATGCATTTGCGACACGGGCTACAGCGGGGACGACTGCGGCGTGCGCAGCTGCCCTGGCGACTGCAACCAAAGGGGCCGCTGCGAGGACGGCCGCTGCGTGTGCTGGCCGGGGTACACTGGAACCGATTGCGGCTCGCGCGCCTGCCCACGCGACTGTAGAGGTCGCGGGCGCTGCGAGAACGGCGTGTGTGTTTGCAATGCGGGCTACAGCGGCGAGGACTGCGGTGTGCGCAGCTGTCCTGGGGACTGTCGTGGCCGGGGCCGCTGTGAGAGTGGCCGCTGCATGTGTTGGCCGGGGTACACAGGCCGGGACTGCGGCACGCGCGCCTGTCCTGGCGACTGTCGCGGGCGCGGGCGCTGCGTGGATGGCCGCTGCGTGTGCAACCCGGGCTTCACCGGTGAGGACTGTGGGAGCCGTCGCTGTCCCGGGGACTGCCGTGGGCACGGCCTTTGCGAGGATGGCGTGTGCGTGTGTGACGCAGGCTACTCAGGGGAAGACTGCAGCACGCGCAGCTGCCCCGGGGGCTGCCGAGGCCGCGGCCAGTGCCTAGATGGGCGGTGTGTGTGCGAGGACGGCTACTCTGGCGAGGATTGCGGTGTGAGGCAGTGCCCGAATGACTGCAGCCAGCACGGCGTGTGCCAGGACGGTGTGTGCATCTGTTGGGAAGGCTACGTGAGTGAGGACTGCAGCATCCGCACCTGCCCCTCCAACTGCCACGGGAGGGGCCGCTGTGAGGAAGGGCGCTGCCTGTGCGACCCAGGCTACACCGGCCCTACCTGTGCCACCCGCATGTGCCCGGCTGACTGCCGGGGACGTGGGCGGTGTGTGCAAGGAGTGTGCCTGTGCCACGTGGGCTATGGCGGTGAGGACTGCGGGCAGGAAGAGCCTCCAGCCAGCGCCTGCCCTGGAGGCTGCGGGCCCCGGGAACTGTGCCGGGCAGGCCAGTGTGTGTGTGTAGAGGGCTTCCGAGGCCCTGACTGTGCCATCCAGACATGCCCAGGGGACTGCCGTGGCCGAGGAGAGTGTCACGATGGCAGCTGTGTCTGCAAAGATGGGTATGCTGGCGAAGACTGCGGAGAAGGTGAGCAGGCAGCCTTCCCCAGTGTACTCTGGGACTGTGATTCTGTGAACAGGAGCCATGGGGAAGACCTGAGCCTGAGGAAGAGTGGAGGGAGAGCATGTCATTCCAAGGAGCCAGTGCCCACCAGGGGCAGCAGAACCACAGGGGTGGGGCTTTCCAGTGGGCAGGACTGGCCTTCAGATCTCTGAGGAGCAGGTTGGGGCCCATTTAGTTGCATTTAGGGAGATTCTGTGCTCCTGAAGATGGAGAGAAGGTGAAGGCGATCCAAGCCCCGTTCAGCCCTCTGTCAGCTATTCTCCACTAGCAGAGAGGAGTGGGAGTTAGGATGGGCCTCTTCGATGTCCCTGAGTAAAAGGGGCTGTGGGTGGGGGTGGTTGCCTTGTGCTAACCAGCTTTCCCTAACCCATTCTCTTGGGCAGAGGTGCCAACCATTGAGGGCATGAGGATGCATCTCTTGGAGGAGACAACAGTTCGGACAGAGTGGACCCCGGCTCCTGGCCCCGTGGATGCCTATGAAATTCAGTTCATCCCCACGGTGAGAGAGATGCCAGGCTCCAGGAGGGGACTGAGTGGGCAGGACAGGGGGGCAGGGCTCACCTCCTGGAGGAAGTTCCAGGTGATCATTGGTTGAGTCCAGATGGCTGGGTACCTGAAGCTGCTGTAAAGGCTTTCTTAGCCTGCTTGACACTGGGCACTGAGGCCTCTGCAGCATCTCCAGCAAGCATTGGTCCCACACAGTTGGAACACCTGGTAACAGAGAGCTCAGTACTTCCTGAGGCTGTCCAGTCCATTGTTGGTCATCACTGTTAGCTGTTATCATTGTTGCAGAATCCGTCTGCCCCTATTCTAGCACCTGTCCGTTGGCCCTAGCTGGGTATTCATCAGCAGCTGGAATGTTTTTTGCTTTCCCTGTGTCCTACACCACAGGCCTTCAGGTATTTGGAGACACCAGCCTGATGTCTTCATTCCTCAGGCAAAACCTCCCAGTTTCTTCGCCCCTTTTCCCTAAGTCTTTATTCTCTGAATCCTTTACCTTCCTGTGATTCTTGCTTTTTTCATGTGCCCCCAAAATGTGGGGACAGAGAGGGGCCCACTGACTTACTCTGAATTTATGGACACTTTTCTCAGAGCTGGCGTATAGCAATTTGTAGTCACACAAGCAGGCAGCTGTTTTGGTCATATTTGGTTTTTTAAGTAACTTTTAATTATAAAAGTAATATAGGCCCCGTGCAGAAAACTTAGAAAATACAGATTAGCAGGGAAAAAAGATGGAAGGAAAGAAGACAACATTCAACTATATACACTTTTTTTTTTTTCACCTAAATATAGGCCTTTGCATTTGGCCCTGTTCAATGTTATCTTTTTTGGTTTGGGCCAAGCTGTCTAGGCTGTTGCAATAATTTTGAGTCTGTGAACTTCATCTCCCACCTCCTTGTCATCAGTACATGCAAACCAGTTTTTTCTCTGTCTCCCTCCAACTTGCTCTTTTTTTTTTTTTTTTTTTTTTTTTTTTTGAGACAGAGAGTCTCACTCTGTGGCCCAGGCTCGAGTGCAGTGGTGCCATCTCAGCTCACTGCAACCTCTGCATCCCAGGCTTAGGTCATCCTCTTACCTCAGCCTCCCAAGTAGCTGGGACTACAGGTGTGCACCACCTTAGCCTGCTAATGTTTGTATTTTTAGTAGAGACGGGGTTTCTCCATGTTGCATGCCCAGGCTGGTCCTGAACTCCTGGGCTCAAGTGATCTGCCCGCCTCAGCCTCCCAAAGTGCTGGGATTACAGGCATGAGCCACCACTCCTGGCCATCCAACTTGCTCTTAAAACATTAGAGGGAACACCCTAAGGACAAAGCCTTGTGGTCACTTATTTGGGGCCTCCCTTTGTGCAGACTGGGCTTTTAAGATATGGTCGTTTCCCCAGCTGCAAATCTTCTGACATTTCTACCATCCAACTCATGTTTTCCTGCATCATCCCACAAATGCCATATGGGGTGTGGGCCATGTCATCCTCATCTTCATCAGCTTAGCCAGGACTCTGTAAAAATAAACAACTCCCTGGGCCTAAAGCCTCGGAAGGCACTAGGACAGAAGGGGACAGCTCAGAGGAACTGTCATCCTCACTCCACTTTGCTTTGTCTTGTCATTATGCTCCTCAGGCCAGCCCCCTACTATGTTCTGCCTCTCCTCACTCTCCAGCCAAAGCAGAAGCAGAAATCTCAACTTCGTGGCGCAACCAAGATAGCTTGAATTTTTTCTTCTGTTTAAACATCTTTTTTTGTTGTTGTTATAAAAATACTTTAATCACGAGACAAGAATTTGGCAACTAGAGAAAAGAAAAACAATTCCTGGCTGCTCCTCACTAAAACAAGCACTGCTAACATTTTAAAGTGTTTCTCCCACTCTCTTCTTCTCTGTATATATTATTTACATAGCTCTAATCTTGAAAGGGTGGGACTTCGAAAAGGAAGTTTCTTAAGAAATTTCAGGGAAAGAAGAATTAAAATAAACACTTGAGATAAGAGGAGCTTTTAGGGCAGCAGTTGTCTCCTGCTCTGAGTAAATAAATACAAACCGATCCTTGGTGTTGTCAAGGGCGCCGCTTTCCAGTTGAAGCCCTAGACTTTCTCCCTCACTCAGAGCCAGGATGGTGGTGCCAAGTTGGCCTGTGCCAGGCTTGGCCATGTTCTTAGCTCATCCATTCTGCTCTCGGTATGGGCATCTGTCACATTCTGGGTCTTCTCTGAGCCTGGGTGTGGAAAACACTCCTGTAAAATTGGTCCCCAGACACTCCTCTTGGGCCTGGGCTACCCACCCTCAGACCATGCTTTCTGCTGTCTGTAGCTGGTCCCTGGCATCGTACCTTCTGCCTTGGCAAGTGCCATCTATTTCTTTTCTTTTCTTTCTTTCTTTTTTTTTTTTTTGAGACAGAGTTTTGCTCTTGTTGCTCAGGCTGGAGTGCAATGGCGCAATCTCGGCTCACTGCAACCTCTGCTTCCCAGGTTCAAACGATTCTCCTGCCTCAGCCTCCCAAGTAGCTGGGATTACAGACACCTGCCACAATGCCCAGCTACCCTTTGTCCATTTCTGTGGGTACAGAGTATATTCAATAGCTGTCTGTCCTCTGGCTGCTGCTGTCATCCTAGAAGCCTATCTCTACCTCTTACCTTCCCTCTTCCCAGAAGCACTTCTCTCTCAAAGCCCAAACTCTGCTATTCCAGATCAAGGGACATACCTAGTTATTGGAATTATTTTTCAGAATGCAGAAGAAGAAAGTTTCTCCTCTCCCTGTATATGTGGCACTGTTACTCTGACTCAGTGGTTCTCAAAGTGTGTTCCCTGGACCTGCAGCATCAGCATCACCTGGGAGTATGTTAGGCATGCAAATTGTCAGACTCCCCCACTAGATCTACTGAGTCAGAAAGTCTGGGCACAGAGCCCAGTAACCTGTATTGCAACAAGCCCTCCAGGTGATTCTGATGCCCCTCCAGCCTGAGGCCCCCTAAGTGAAGGAATGTTGCTATTTTGCAAAGTGCTAGCTCCACTATGAATGTGAGAGAAAGCATGGGGAAACTGAGGGAGATGAGTTCCTGAATGAGAAAGAGGTTCAGATATTCCTTGTCTGGGTGTGTCCTGCAGCCTGGAAATCAGGGCTAGGCTAAGTGTTCACTGGGACTCAAAACCTCACAGCCTCAGAGAAGTTTTTGCTTGGGTCTAGTCTAAAAACAGCAATGAGGGTGAGATAAGCTCCAAGGACCAGCCAAGGTAGAGTTCATCTGGAGCCACGAGGTTAATATTGAGATAAACTCTAAAACTTCCCAAGAACAAAATCAGTGAAGCAGGCCAGGCGCAGTGGCTCATGCCTGTAATCCCAGCACTTTGGGAGGCCAAAGTGGGTGGATCATCTGAGGTCAGGAGTTTGAGAACAGCCTGACCAACATAGTGAAACCCCATCTCTACTAAAAATACAAAATTAGCTGAGCATGGTGGTATATGCCTGTAATCCCAGCTACTTGGGAGGCTAAGGAAGAATCCCTTGAATCTTGGAGGCGGAGGTTGTAGTGAGCTGAGATCGTGCCATTGCACTCCAGCCTGGGAGACAAGAGCGAAATTCCGTCTCAAAAAAAAAAAAAATCAGTGAAGCAGCCAAGCTTTACCAAGGGGCAGAGCCAGCTGCCAGCATCTGTTTAGAAAGACTGCTTCAGGGCCAGGTGTGGTGGCTCACGCCTGTAATCCCAGCACTTTGGGAGGCTGAGGTGGGTGGATCACCTGAGGTCGGGAGTTCGAGACCAGCCTGACCAACATGGAGAAACCCCGTCTCTACTAAAAATACAAAATTAGCCGGACATGGTGGCGCATGCCTGTAATCCCAGCTACTCGGGAGGCTGAGGCAGGAGAATCGCTTGAACCCGGGAGGCGGAGCTCGCGATGAGCTGAGATCGCGCCATTGCACTCCAGCCTGGGCAACAAGAGCAAAACTCCCTCTCAAAAAAAGAAAAAAGAAAGCCTGCTTCAGACCAGTAAGATGGTGCTAGGAGACGTAGGAGACATGGGTTAGGTTGATGGACTTTCAGGGGACTGTTCCCAGATGGATCTCAGGAGGAACCAAGAAGTGTCTAAAGGATATATATAGGGAGAAGGAGAACTCTGGGGATAGGCTTGCCTCACTGAAAGAACCAGACATCATCAGGGAGCATCCAAGGTGTGTGTATTGCGGCTGTGGGGATGGGGTGGGTGTGGATAAAGAGAAAGAGACATACACACACACAGAGAAAATGAACAAATAAATTCTGGGAAGGGTAAGGATTTCATGGGTCTTGAGTTGAGGCCAACCCAAGGCTTCCTAGGCTGGGGTATTCTAAGGCAGGGTGAATAGGAGAGGGCTGGAGGTCCTATGTGCCCAGGAAAACTTTTCAACCCAGAAAACTGACAAAGCTTTACTTCATCCTCAACCCAGAAATCTCTACGTGGCCTTCTCATCTGGTTTTATACTTCGGTATTTACTATGTTGATTTCCCCACAGTTCTCTTGGTTTAGGAGAGTACCTTTTGAAATTTCCAATCCTACTTGGCTGAATGGAGGTGTCCCCATCACAGCCAACATAGCTAGGCAGAACACAGCATCCTTAGCGGCTGTCCTAGCTGGACAGCACAGCAAAATGTGGGGCTGTTAGAATGCTCACAGATGTACAGTTCCTCCTGTTTCCCCAGTGGTGGGCATTCCAGGAGACCCTGCCTGGAGCAGGGTCCAGTAGATTCCCTTTGGAGGCACCACACATAATCATAATTCCTTAAATGTACACTTGTAGGAGTGTTGTTTTCTCACAAGCATTTGCTAAGCATAGAGATTGTTGTAAGTATCTCATATATTCAAGATGTGGCCATACATTTAGCTATTAGAGTCTCAGCTACCTGAGGACAGGGACCATATATTTTATTTTTGTGTCTCCAATGCCCAGCATGATGCCAGGTACAAAATCAACAATCAGGAAACATATTTGTGGAACTTTGAGCAGGTGGTTCTTGTTTTGAGGAGCCTACAACCCGGGTGAAGAGACAAGAAAAGTCCCTCAAGGGAAAGGTTGTGATGCGGGTCCCACTCCTGTTACACAGCCATGAGCAGGCATCTACGAGGAGGTTCAGGGTGAGGCAGACCCTTTAAGGAGAAAGTGCAACTTGAAGGGGCATCCTTGATCTACTTCATTTGTTCTGACAGGACCAAGCTTAGGAAAAGGCTCCTCATGCCCAGGTAGTCAGAGTTGCCAGGGCAAAGCTGGAGGGAGAGTCCTGGTGCATGTTGGGTGGAATTCTGGCAGATGAACACGGGGTGCCCATGAGAGGGGACTCTGACAGATAAATAGGGGGTGCCCATGAGAGGGGACTCTGGGATCACACTGCTAGGGCCTAAATTCTTGCCATTTTCTTGGTGTTGGTGACGTTGGCAAGATACTTGTCCTTCTGTGTCTCAGTTTCCTTATCTGTAAAATGGGACTAATAGGACCTGTTTCGTAGGGTTGTTGTGAGAATTAAGTGAGTTCATGTGTGTACCTCGCCTAGAACAGTGGCTCACAAGGAGTTAGCGCTCTCAGCATGTTTGCTCCCCAGCTTGTACAGGGTCAAGTTCCACACAGTACCATGCTGACACTGTTTAGAATTGGAGAAAGAAGAGATAAGGGGGATTGAGCAGCAGAGGCAAGAGTGCCAGCCCCTGAGCCACCTGGTGCTCTCTCTCACAGACAGAGGGGGCGAGCCCCCCATTCACAGCACGGGTTCCAAGCTCTGCCTCAGCCTATGACCAGAGAGGACTGGCCCCTGGACAGGAGTACCAGGTCACTGTCCGAGCCCTTCGAGGGACCAGCTGGGGCCTTCCTGCCTCCAAGACCATCACCACCAGTGAGAGCTGGGGCTGTGGGGAGGGGTGTCCTGAGTGGAGATCTGGACTAGAGAGGGAATCTGCCCTCCGGGAGGGCAGAAGGAAGGGGCTGGATGGGGGCTAGGCTCTTGGAAGGAAAGATGATGATTGAAGAACCAGACACCCACCTGAGTCCTCCTCTTTAACCTGGCTAGTGATCGATGGGCCCCAGGACCTCCGAGTGGTGGCTGTGACACCGACAACACTGGAGCTTGGCTGGCTGCGTCCCCAGGCTGAGGTGGACCGATTTGTGGTGTCCTACGTCAGTGCCGGCAACCAGAGGGTGAGGCTGGAAGTGCCCCCTGAAGCAGACGGGACGCTGCTGACTGACCTGATGCCAGGCGTAGAATATGTGGTGACTGTCACAGCGGAGCGGGGCCGGGCAGTCAGCTACCCAGCTTCTGTCAGGGCCAACACAGGTATGGCTGGCCAGAGGTTAGGGAAGGGCCCTGGTTTCCCAGCCTTGGATCCTCCTCCTCAGGAGCCCAGGCTCAGGGCTCACAGACTCCTCTGAATGCTTCTGGCAGGTGTGTGGCAGTCTCGAGGCACCTGCTGGGGGCCTTGCTCTGTCCTGAGGCCACTGGGGAGACAGAGCCCTCAGATGCCTGGAGTCCTGTAGGAAGGTTACAGGTTAGCCTATGAAAGGAATGGCCCCAGGGAGAGAAGTGAATAGGAGATGCTGCCTGATCCAGTCAGTTAAGGGAGGTTCTTTTTTAAATTTAGGTACCGGGACAGGCCTTGTGCTGATAGATCTTGTGGGACTGGAATTAGGCAGATTAGAGATCATCAGTCCTGTTGACTTTTGGATTGGGATTGCTGGGAGGTGGGTCTCACAGCAGTGATTTTCCACTAAACCTCGAGGTTTCTTAACAGATACCTGGATATTTTTCTTTTCCTGTGACAGGGGGACACCCACCTCGCTGTAGCTCATGTTCTCTTCCCCGACTCCCCTTTCTCTCCTTCAGCTACAGGGCCCCACCCACGGGCTTCTCTCTTCTTTCTAGGGCACCAACAGTGGTGGGCTTGGAGGGGAATGGGGGGGCTGCGGGACACTGACCGATTTCCCTCCGTTCTCTTTCCAGGTGGGGCTGGGGCACAGGGAAGAGGCCTCTGGCTCTGGTGGGAGGGATCGAGGGAGGGGCTGCCGCGGGAAGGAGTGCCGGGAGGGAGCTGCCACTGACCTGTTCTCCCCTTTTTTGCCCCTGGCAGCACCAGGCCACTACAGTTACCCGGAGGTGCGCCCCCCAGCCCCGCCCCCCAAGTCCCGGCCCCGGCCAGCCCCAGCCCCGCGGCCCCCACGGCCCCCTTGGCCCTCGAGGCCAGCAGAGGAAAGGGAGGAGGAGTCCCCGCCCAGGCCAAGCCTGTCCCAGCCCCCACGGCGGCCTTGGGGCAACCTGACGGCCGAGCTGAGCCGTTTCCGCGGCACGGTGCAGGACCTGGAGCGCCACCTGCGGGCTCACGGCTACCCACTGCGGGCCAACCAGACTTACACGTCGGTGGCGCGCCACATCCATGAATACTTGCAGCGGCGTCTGTTGGCCGCCGCCCCAGCCGGCTCCCCCGCACCCCCGCCCCGCCACCCCCGCCCCACCGCCAGCCCTGATCCCGGCACCAGGAAACGGGACTCCAACCAGGGAATCTACGGCCTCTCGCCTGAAGGCGTCGACCGGGTGGCTGCGTCCCGCCACCCCAAGCCAGAGGTGCTGGGCAGTTCCGCCGATGGCGCGCTTCTCGTGTCTCTCGACGGGCTCCGCGGCCAGTTCGAGCGCGTGGTGCTGCGCTGGCGGCCTCAGCCGCCTGCAGAGGGCCCCGGCGGTGAGCTGACTGTGCCGGGCACCACGCGCACCGTCAGCCTGCCCGACCTCAGGCCCGGCACCACCTACCACGTGGAGGTCCACGGGGTGCGGGCGGGGCAGACCTCCAAGTCCTACGCCTTCATCACCACCACAGGTAGTGTGGGCTGGGGCCACGGGACACCTATCCCTTGTCCAGCCTCACCTGCCGTTGGAGCCTGCATTCATGAATTCCTCCCACTGCCACCCCCCACTGCCCCCTTCTACCTTCAGGCCCTACCTGGCCGGGGCTCCAGGGGGCCCCCAGGACAAAGCACGAGTCCATTGTCCCTAGAAGACGTCCCCACCCCAGGGTCCTGGCATCCATCCTGTGGATGCCTAAGGTCAAGGCAGCGCCTTCTTTGGGGTTTCCCGGGACACTTCCAGGATTGTTATTTTAGGCAATAGAGGGTGATGTGGTTGGGGCACCTGCAAAGATTCACTGGAGCAGTTTGAGTGGGCTGGGAATTGAAAACAGTGATTCCCGTTCTGACTCACTGTGGTGAGAGTGGCTGAAGACTGTGGTTAGTGGTTACTGTTTTCCACAATTTGGCCTTGACCTTGAAGGGACACATCAGAACTGCGTGGGGGTGGCCTGGGTGCCATCAGGCAGCAACTGTATATTGGGGAGGTGAAACCACTGCTTCTTAAGCTGGCTTTTCAGACCCCCTGGCTCACTTTATGCTGGTCTCTCCCACAGGAACGATGTCTGGGCTTGGGGAAAGGGCACCCTGTGGCTGCTGTGGGGAGGGTGGTGGACCTCTTCTTCCCCCATAGGGCCCAGATGCCACCTGACCTGGATGTCCACCCCCACACCCTCTCTCTCTTCCCACTGCCCACTCTCCTCTTGCATCCTCCCTCTCTAACACCACTGTCTTTCTTCCAGGCTTCTCACTGCAGCACTAATGGAAGCCACCTGACCACCACCCAGTGGGGGGGATGTATGTGGGGAGGGACATGGAAGTCTCCGGGGGCTGGAGGTCATGGAAGCCTTGTGGGGTGAAGGATAGCAGGCTTTATTTTACCTATTACCTGCCTGAAGCACAGGCCCGTCTGCTCAGGAATGTGGTAGATGGGGGTGTTTGGAGGATTGGCTGACCTTTGGGAGGAGGGAGTGGCCCAGGTGAGGGAACCAGAAGTAGAAGTAGAACAAGGCTCTTAGAGGCTGGAGGGCAGAACCTGGGGACTGGGGATTCCTTTCTAGTTCTCATACTGGACTCTCCTCTTTTTCTCACCCTGCCCCTTCCCAGGGTCCTCACCCTTGGGCCTCTTGGGGACTACCGATGAGCCTCCTCCCTCAGGCCCCTCGACGACGCAAGGGGCCCAGGCTCCTCTCCTGCAGCAGCGCCCCCAGGAGCTGGGAGAGTTGAGGGTGCTGGGCAGAGATGAGACAGGGCGCCTCCGTGTGGTCTGGACCGCCCAGCCTGACACCTTTGCCTACTTCCAACTGCGCATGCGGGTGCCCGAGGGGCCGGGGGCACATGAGGAAGTGCTGCCAGGGGACGTCCGCCAGGCTCTGGTGCCTCCACCCCCTCCTGGAACCCCGTATGAGCTGTCACTTCATGGGGTCCCTCCTGGGGGCAAGCCCTCTGACCCCATCATCTACCAAGGCATTATGGGTACATCTTGGACTCTGCTCAGATCAATATCCTGAGATTGGGGGAGGAGCTGGGGTTATTGGGACTTCAGAGGTAGGATGGATATTGAGGGGCCAGTGAAGGGCAGGGCTGATGTTTGGGGCTGGATAGAGGAGAAAAGGAGAGAAAAGGAATTGCAGGTTCAGCAGGAAGATGGATCGAGGGGGATCTTAAAACAATGATAAGGATGGGTGGGGAGAGGGGAAAGAGGCAGAGGTAAAAAGGCCGAGGGTGGGACAGAGATTCCAGGAGAGAGGCTGAAGGTCCCTGGCCCTCCACCTGCAGCTTTCCTTGCCCTGTCCCCTGCCCCCACTCTTCGGTTGCTCCTCTGCCCTTCCCTGCCCTATAAATCTTTCAGGGTGGGCATGGGAAGGCCTCTGGACACTGACCCTCAGCCCCCAATACCTCGTCCCTGGGAGCCTGGTTTGCAGTGGACAGCAGTCCATGGTCCCATCAGCCAGTTTCTGCTGGGGGTGAAGGCTCCTTGGGGCAGGGGGCTCCACAGCCATCAGGACTTCAGACATGGATGAGGTTTGCAGGACCAGTGAAAGACAGGTCCTGGGGTACCTGGCTTTCACATCCCCTCTTTGTTCCTCTCTGTGGGACCAGGGTGGCTGACTCATCCCCCAGCTCCAGGTCAAGCTCACCACTGGAAGAGAGGGTGGTAAGAGAGACAGCAGCTCAGGTGGGCAGAGGAGCTTTCAGACTGCTCTGATGCTGCAGCAGGGAGGCTTGAAACTCTCATTCAGAACCAGGGGGACCTGAAACCCCCGCAAAGATCCTGGTGTGCAGAGAGACCAAGACCTTGTGAGGGATGGAGAAACTGTCACAAGGGAAGAAGCAGAGATTGAGAGGGAAATGCCCCTCTTCCAGAAGAGCTAGTCACTGAGGGGTGGGCAGATAGAGTCTTCCGGGGAGGGATCTATCCAGGATGGAGTGAGGTGGGCAGGGGAGAGGGAAGGAGACACAGACAAGAGAACGGTTGAGTCCACTATGCTTTGCTTTTGCCTCTCAAACTCCAGACAAGGATGAGGAGAAGCCTGGGAAGTCCTCAGGCCCACCACGCCTGGGTGAGCTGACGGTGACAGACAGGACCTCCGACTCCTTGCTCCTGCGCTGGACGGTCCCCGAGGGCGAGTTTGACTCCTTCGTGATCCAGTACAAAGACAGGGACGGGCAGCCCCAGGTGGTGCCCGTGGAAGGACCCCAGCGCTCGGCCGTCATCACCTCCCTGGATCCTGGCCGCAAGTACAAATTTGTCCTGTATGGGTTTGTTGGCAAGAAGAGGCATGGTCCGCTGGTGGCTGAAGCCAAGATCTGTGAGTGACAGCAGTAACACCCTGCCCTCTGTACTGCCCTGAAGAGGTTTTCTCAGTGCTTTGGGAACCTGCTTTGGGAGCTCCGGGAAGGCTTCCTGGAGGCAGTGGTGCATGAGCTGAATTCTGAAGGGAAAGTAGTGGTGGGGCAGGCAAAGAGTTTGAGAAGCTCAGTGCAGCCTGAGGGAGTCACGGTGAGTAAGGTGGGGAGAGCATGGCCAGTAAGAGAATCACTGTTACAGTTTCCTCTGGCTGGAGAACAGGGCATGTGGGGGGTGCCAAAGGGCCTGGTCTCAGGGCTTCCTGTGCTGTGCTGAGGGGCTTGGGCCTCATTCGAAGGCCCCTAGAGGGCCTCTGAAGGGTAAAGTGGGAGAGTGATGAGACTAGATATTTATCTTGCAAATAACCGGGTGGCTGCTGAGACTAGCTGGAGAAGTGAGTTAAGAGCTGGTAAAGGCTAGCAGGGTTGATCCTGCCTATAATCCCAGCACCTTGGGAGGCCAAGGCAGGAGGATCGCTTGAGGCTAGGAGTTTGAGACCAACCTGGCAACATAGTGAGACCCCCCATCTCTACTATAACAAAAGATATTAGCCAGGCGTGGTGGTGCGTGCCTGTAGTCCCAGCTACTTGAGAGGCTTGAGGTGGGAGGATCGCTTGAGCCCAGGAGACCGAGGCTGCAGAGAGCCATGATTGTGCCACTGTACTCCAGCCTGGGTGCTATCCACACTCTGCACAGAGCAACACCCTGTCTCAAAAAAAAGAAAAATGATGATGGGTCAGCTGGGATGGTGGCAGTGGGGCTGGATGGGGGAGGCGAAGGAAAGCAAGGTGTACCAGGCAGCCCCCAGGGTTCTGGATGAGACAGTCCCATTCCCTGAGGCAGGGAGCAGCAGAGGTGGGGAACAACGCCTTAGATAAACTTAGATCAATATCTAAGAGACACTTACATAAATACCTTTTGTGCATTTATTGAGAGTCAGTTGTGATCAAGATGTTCTCTAAGTGGATCATCACACCCCATAAAGCACACCTGGGAGGCATGCCTACTTTATAGGTCAGGAGAATTGAGGCACCAGAGTAGTCGTGTGGGGTTGGGGAAGAGACAGGGCCACTGGAACCCTGTCGACAGCCTACACTCACAGCGGAGGCAGAGGAAGAAGAGCCCACAGGGTAGCTTGCGGAGTGACTTGCAGGGAGGGGCAGAACCAGGGAGGGTGCTGTCTGGACTCCAGGAAGGAGGGTGCGGTTGGACTTGTCAGATTCCGGAACAGTGATTCAAGGGCTACGGAGCGTCCACAGAATTTAGCAATGGCAAGGCCACCCCTGGCCTGCATGAGAGCTGCTGCCTGGTGGAGGGGTGGAGCTGGATCGGGAGGGTGGTGGAGGTGAGGACATGGCTGCAATCAGTGTAGACATCACTTTCTGGAATCTGGGCTGGGAATGAGAGCAAAGAGGGAAGATGGAGGCTAGAGAGAGATGCACACAGAGTGGGGGTGAGGAGGGGTGTGACAGTAGCTTGTTGAAATGCTGATGGCACAGCTGCTGGGGAGTGAAGGGTCAGTGCTGCAGGCGAGGGAGTCCATCCATGGGTCAAAGTTCCCAAAGAGGAGGAGAGGCCTGCAGCATAGATGAGGGAGGCTGTCCCACATTAAAACGCTTCAAGGATTGTGCTCTCCTCTCTTGGAGAAGAAGCCAGCTAGTAGTTAGGCTTGGAAGCAGTGGAGGTTGTACTGGGAAGATTTCCCTGGCTATGGAGATGTGAAAGGGCCTGGCTGGGCTCCCCTCTTTCTGAAGCTCC
Source organism: Homo sapiens (assembly GCF_000001405.40). Classification (NCBI taxonomy): domain Eukaryota; kingdom Metazoa; phylum Chordata; class Mammalia; order Primates; family Hominidae; genus Homo; species Homo sapiens. The sequence goes on along the minus strand of NT_167246.2, from coordinate 3,387,621 downwards.
CTGCTGCTCTGGTTTGTGGTTGGAGGCAGAGCCACACTAGTCCACGCAGTGCTTCCATGCCGTTTGAAAGAAGGCACCCATTCCTTAAAGTGGACACCACTCCTCACCAGGGCACACAGCTCGGCAAGCAGAGTGCTGGCTGGATTTCAGTCCCTCTGTACTCCCTCAGCAAATGCACTTTTGTGCAGTGAACAACCTGCACAGCCTCACACAGCATTCCTATGTGGGATTTGGCTTCCCCATTCTCCTTGGACCTAAGTCTCTCCCTTCTCTCTACCCACTCTTCCTAGTGCCTCAGAGTGACCCAAGTCCAGGGACTCCACCCCACCTGGGAAACCTGTGGGTGACAGACCCTACCCCAGATTCACTGCACCTCTCCTGGACTGTCCCTGAGGGCCAGTTTGACACCTTCATGGTCCAGTACAGGGACAGGGATGGACGGCCCCAGGTGGTACCTGTGGAAGGGCCCGAGCGTTCATTTGTTGTCTCCTCACTGGACCCTGACCACAAGTACAGATTCACTCTGTTTGGAATTGCGAACAAGAAGCGGTATGGCCCCCTCACGGCCGATGGCACCACTGGTGAGTAGCAGCCACCTCAGCCCCCATGTGACCCCTTCTCAGCCCCATGCACACTTCCCTTCAGCCCAAAACCAGCTGGGGTCCCCCAGCAAGACAGCTGACTCCAGCTTCCCGGCCCCACTCCAGGGCTGAGGGGCAGCCAGACTCCCCCGCACTGCTGGGCCCCTTCCATCCCAAGCAGCAGCTCCCCGTGGCCCAGAAGGTGTGTCATACCCTGGCTGTGTCAGGCTTCCCAGAAGTTTAGCACTCGAATTAATGGACTAGTGACCCCCCACCCCCCATAGGTGTGACATCCCGTCGAAACCCCAAGCCCCAGTCCCAGGCTGCCAGTTCAGCACCTGGCTGGATCTCCTTGTTTACAGCTCCAGAGAGGAAAGAGGAGCCCCCCCGCCCTGAGTTCCTGGAGCAGCCCCTCCTGGGGGAACTGACAGTGACCGGCGTGACCCCAGACTCCTTGCGTCTCTCATGGACAGTGGCCCAGGGCCCCTTCGACTCATTCATGGTCCAGTACAAGGATGCACAGGGGCAGCCCCAGGCAGTGCCTGTTGCGGGGGATGAGAATGAGGTTACTGTCCCCGGCCTGGATCCCGACCGGAAGTATAAGATGAACCTCTACGGGCTTCGTGGCAGGCAGCGTGTGGGGCCCGAGTCTGTGGTGGCCAAGACTGGTGAGTCATGGCTGCCAGGCCTCCCTCCCCTGCTAGCCCCATCCTGTGAGCGGGACTTGGCTGGGGCTCCTTCCAGCCTCCCTCCATCTTCGCCTTCTCAGCTCATTTTGCCAAAGCCTCCACCCACTTCCTCCCGCACTGCTCTCCTGTCCTCTGCATGCCAGGTCCCCCTCATCCAGCCTCCACCTCCTCATCTCTTCCTCAGCCTCACTTCTTCATCTCCAAGGGCAGGTCCTATTTTCCCCCATTCCAAACACCTGGACTCATCCTTCCACCTGGGGCTGTCCTCCCCACAGATGTCCTCACCATTCGGTCACTGTGTTCTCACCCCTCAGTTTTTACTGGGCTCCTTCATGGTCTGGTTTGGGCCATGGTCACTTCTGGGCTTCTGTCACCTGCTGCCCACAACCTCCTGCCATTTCTGCTGTGTTCAGAGGTGGCAGATCCAAGTGACAAGAGCACCACGTTTCTCTAGCCTTTTTGCAGCATGAAGAGGACTCCTCTCAGCTCCCGACTCCTTGACTCCCAGCCCCCTTGGAACAGGGCAAAGGGATTGTGTTCAGCCCAGCATCCCAGCCTGTTCCTCCATGTCCCCAGCCTTTCCCTGTCCAGTGCCATTCCCCTGGCCTGTGAATTATTTGATGAGAGATAGTGTGGATAGTGGTTAGGAGCAAAGACTCCGGAGCCAACTGCCCGAGTCTCACTACCAGCCTTGCAACTTACTTCCTGTAGGACCTTGTGCAAATTGCTTAACCTCTCTGTGCCTCAGCTTTCCCTTCTGTCAGGTGGCTGGATTTCAGTCCCTCTGCACAGAGCTGTTGGAATTACATGAGTTAATATATGTATAACACTTAGAAAGGCCAGGCACAGTGGCTCATGCCTGTAATCCCAGCATTTTGGGAGGCCAAGGCGGGTGGATCACGAGGTCAGGAGATCGAGACCATCCTGGCTAACACGGTGAAACCGTGTCTCCACTAAAAATACAAAAAATTAGCCAGGCATGGTGGCAGGTGCCTGTAGTCCCAGCTACTCAAGAGGATGAGGCAGGAGAATGGCGTGAACCCGGGAGGCGGAGCTTGCAGTGAGCCGAGATCGCGCCACTGCATTCCAGCCTGGGCGACAGAGTGAGACTCCATCTCAAAAAAAAAACAAAAACAAAAACAAAAAAAGCCCACACACTTAGAATAGTGCTTGGAGCAGCAAAGCATTTTCAGAGTGAGCTGCAATTTCTCCCTGACTCTCTCACTTCCCAGTAATCTTTTTTGCTCCCCACCTCCCTCCCTTCCTCTGGGTTGTCATTCTTGCCAATTCTTTCCTCAATCTGCTATCCCAAAGTAGTCCCCCATGTAGCAGGTCACAGAAGGGCTGGTTTCCCTTGTGCCACAGTCTCCCCACTCCATGGAGCCTCAGCAGAGACCTAACTGTAGGGGGCGGGTAGGTGCCCACAGGGCTGTGATTCCAGAGCCAGCCAGGGAAGGACATGTCTCTCCTTGGATCCCACTCACCCCAGAATTTTTCTCCCACTCATGCCTGGAGCCCTGCCTTAGCAATTCATTCCTTGGGGTTAAAGGGGAGGGAGGGGCAGGGCTGCCTGGGGAGGCCACAGCAAGAGCACATTCCATGGTCAGATCCTCATATGAGGGGTGGGGCAGCCAGAGTGCCCTGGGGAGGGCACAGGTAGGAAGAGGCCTCACTGCCCTCCTCACTGTCTGAGGTCAGCACTGTCAGTGAACGTGGTTTGGAAGAACCCTCAGAGGCTTCCTCTCTTCCCATCTCAGCTCCTTTCTCAGACACGAAGGGAGACCCCTCACCCCCACAGAACCCACCAGAGCAGGATGGGGCAAGGGCTGTCTCAGCCTTCTCCATCCGTGAGTGACCGAATGGCAAATACAAAGGCTACAGAGCCCCTGAGCCCACAGCGTAAGGGCATTTCCATGGCTGTCATCTGTGGGCAGCAGCAGCAAAGCCAGCAGCCCTTTATGCCTCTATCTCTTCTCTCAGCTCCTCAGGAGGATGTGGACGAGACCCCCAGCCCCACAGAACTGGGCACGGAGGCCCCGGAGTCCCCCGAGGAGCCGCTCCTGGGGGAGCTGACAGTGACAGGATCCTCCCCTGATTCGCTGAGCCTCTTCTGGACCGTCCCCCAGGGCAGCTTCGACTCTTTCACCGTGCAGTACAAGGACAGGGATGGGCGGCCCCGGGCGGTGCGTGTTGGGGGCAAGGAGAGTGAGGTCACCGTGGGAGGCCTAGAGCCCGGGCACAAGTACAAGATGCACCTGTACGGCCTCCACGAGGGGCAGCGCGTGGGCCCGGTGTCCGCCGTGGGCGTGACAGGTGAGTGAGGGGCAGGGGCCTGCTTTGGTTCCCTCCCACTGCTGGCTCCCAGCTTCCCTGTAGCCAGTTGCTCTCCTTGCTCCAGTGGAACCTTGAGGCTGCCTGCCAGGGGAAGACCTAGAAAGAGCATGTCACTGGGGACTGGCGTACCACCAGCTTTCATGGCCCTGAGCAAGTTTTAAACTTTCTGCACCTCTGTTTCCTTGTCCGTAAAATGGGGACACCTACCTCACAGAGTTATTGTGAGGGTTAAGTGAGTTAACAGATGTAAAGCATCAAGAATGGGCCTGGCAAAAGTAAATATGCTGCCAGTGTCTGCTGTGAGAATTGTTATAAATATTCTTACTCTGAGGTCTGCTTTGTCCCCTTTGGCTGGTTCAGTTACTTGGTCAGAATGCACATGAATCTAAGGCCATACCACCCTGAAGGTGTCCTATCATCTCCTCTGATCTCAGAAGCTAAGCAGGGTCAGGTCTGGTTAGTACTTGGATGGGAGAATGCGCGTGAGACATTGGCCTCTTCATCAGTACAGCTTGAAGCAAGCTTTCTTTTCTTTCTTGTCTTTTTTTTTTTTTTTTTTTTTTTGAGACAGAGTCTCACTCTGTTGCCCAGCCTGGAGTGCAGTGGTGCGATCTCAGCTCACTGCAACCTCTGCCTCCCAAGTTCAAGTGATTCTCCTGCCTCAGCCTCCCAAATAGCTGGGACTACAGATGCGTGCCACCACACCTGGTTACTTTTTTGTATTTTTAGTAGAGACGGGGTTCACCGTGTTGGCCAGGCTGGTCTCAAACTCCAGATCCTCAAGTGAGCCACCTGCCTCGGCCTCCCAAAGTTCTGGTATTACAGGCGTGAGCCACCACGCCTGACCACAAAGCTTTCTCTTTCTTCTTTCTCTCTTTTTCTTTCTTTCTTTCTTTCTTTCTTTCTTTCTTTCTTTCTTTCTTTCTTTCTTTCTTTCTTTCTTTCTTTCTCTTTCTTTCTGTCTCTCTCTCTCTCTTTCTTTCTTTTTTTCCTTTCTTTCTGTTTTTTGAGCTCTGTTGCCCAGGCTGGAATGCAGTGGTGCAATCTTGGCTCACTGCAACCTTTGCCTCCCAGGTTCAAGTGATTCTCCTGCCTCAGCCTCCCGAGTAGCTGGGATTACAGGCATGCACCACCACACCTGGCTAATTTTTGTATTTTTAATAGAGATGGGGTTTTACCATGTCAGCCAGGCTGGTCTCAAACTCTTGACCTCAAGTGATCCACCCGCCTTGGCCTTCCAAAGTGCTGGGATTATAGGCATAAGCCACCACGCCCGGCCACAAGGCTTTCTTTAATACTCATCCAGTGAGTGACTTTACAGCAAAGAAGAACATCCCTTCCACCCTTTCTCTCAGGCCTGGTTACAGGGCCACATCCACCACCACACAGGACCAGCCTGGGCACCTCCTCTCCAGGGCCTCAGCCCAAGAGGCTGAGTGGACAGCAGTGCCTCTGGGACCCTCGGGCTGACCTGCCCGGTTTAGTCACAGTGAGGGGAATCTCTTTTTTCCTTTGCTCACAGAAACAAAGACACACCTTTCTCAAAAATAACTTTTACTATAAGGGGAAAGATTTAAAAATTAAAAGTAGAGAAATAGATAGTTTTCCAGAACATGGTTTCTGTAATTCCACCAAGCTCAGCCTCATCATGACTTGGTTGATTTCATTTCCAGAACCTTCCACCCTCAATTTATTTTCTTTGCCTCAGTCAGCCCTGAGAAGAGGGAGACGGCAAAGCCACCCTGAGTGGCTGTCCTTGGGGCCTGAGGTTGTAGGGTGGAGGCTGGTGCCAGGCCCAGACATGCTGCCAAGTCTGCTCCTGGAGTGACCCTCCCTCTGCCGCTCTGTCCCAGGGACCCACACTGGGCTCTGTGAGGCCCTGTGCCTGGTCCCTGGGGTAAGGATGGGCTCTGTCAGGCACTGACCAAGTCGGTGCAGTAGAGATAAATGGAGTTTGGGAATCTGACAAACTGAGTTCCTTCCTGTCTTCCTCTGTTCTCAGCTGTATGATTTTTATTTTTTTATTTTATTATTATTTTTTTGAGACAGAGTCTTGCTTTGTCACCCAGGCTGGAGTGCAGTGGCATGATCTCAGCTCACTGCAACCTCTGGCTCCCAGGTTCAAGCAGTCCTCCTGCCTCAGCCCCCCAAGTAGCTGGGATTACAGGCGCCCACCACCACACCCGGCTAATTTTTGTATTTTTAGTAGAGACAGGGTTTCACCATGTTAGCCAGGCTGGTCTCGAACTTCTGACCTCAGATGATCCACCCGCCTTGGCCTCCCAAAGTGCTGGGATTACAGGCGTGAGGCACCGTGCCCAGCCAGCTGTATGATCTTGAAAAACTTACCTCCTCTCCTGGAACCTCAGCTTCCTCATATTCAGGAGGGAGTAAACGCTGCCCAGCTTGTTGTCACGGTTAAAGGTGGTGATGTAACATGTCTGGCATCTTCTCAGCTCATTCATCTTTTGCTCAGACCTTCCCGTGAGGGAATCCCTGTATATCCATGTTCTAATGCTGGATATTTTGAAACATGTATTTTACACGTCCTGGATAAAATAGATGAGGCCCTTTAGGAAAGAAATGGGCATCAGTGCGCATTATCAGAGCAGCAAAAGGACGAAGCAGCTGGAGTCCGCCAAGCTGGGGGCTGTGTCTGGCAGCACACACAGTGCAGTTGCCAGGGGGAGAGGTGCGTGGAGCTCATTAGACACACTTCTAAATTGGAAAAGGACTGTCCCACATGCAGCATGGGGACTGCCAGAGTCATGAATCGTTATAATTGTACCTTTCCAGTTAATCCAAACCACCAGCAATAAAGCTTGATGGTGAAGGACATTTTCATTCCCTCATGGAAAGAAGTGCAGAGAGGGCAAAAAGGAGCAGGGAATGGGTGCTGCAGGAACAAGTAAGGTTAGAAGGCAAATGAAATGAGAGAAAATGCCCAGCCTGGTACCTGTACATAGTAGATGTTCAATACTTGGTGGTCACTCTGCTCCCTCCCACCACCTCAGCTGCCTCCATGCCTGCCCTCCCCAGCCTGACTCATTTCTGTCTGCCCGAGGCCTGGTCACCAGCCTGTTTTAAGCAGTTGTCACTTGCTTGGAGCCTTGTCTTGCCCTCCGGAGGAAGCCAGAGAAACAAGTTCTTGGGAGCCCCACCCATCCAGCCACCTTCTCTGCCATTTTGCCTCTTGGGACCACCTTCTAGTTTGCTCACTAATGAGTGCTTCCTCATGCGGGAGTGGTGGGGATCTGCAGGTCCTGAGCCCAGACCTGTAGACCACTCATTATTTTACAGACATCTGTGGAGCACCTACTGTGTGCCAGGGACTGGGACACAGCAGTGAATAAAGCAGAGCTCCTGCCTGAGGAGCTCACATTCTAGTGGAGAGGGACAGGCAACAAATTGCACAAATATGTCAGTGGCACCGGATGTGACAGTGATGAGTGGTGGGGAAAAGCAGAGCCTAGTAGGGAGACAGCAAGGGCCTCACTGCGAGGGCAGTGTCTGAGGAAAGCCCTGAAGGAGGTGAGAGGACAGCCACCTAGGCCTTTGGGGAAAGAGCATCCCAGACAGAAGGAAGAGCAAATGCAGAGACTGGCAGGCGAGAAGCAGCCCCAGATGTCTGCAGACAGTGAGGGATGCAGTATGTTTTGTGGTGGAGTTGGAGGAGGGCAGGCAATAGGGAATGATCTAAGAGATGAATATGGGACCTCAGAGGCCAGTGCAGGACTTGGATTTCACCCTGAGTGAGGTAGAAGCCACTGCGGGAACCAGCTCTGGCTAATGTGTTAACAGGATCCTTCTGGCTGCAGACCCAACAGACTAAAGGGGGGTGAGGGCAGAAGGCGATGACCTGAGAGAATGTTGTGATAATCCAGGAGGAGCCAGTGGTGCTTGGAGGTGGCAAGGAGGGGTCAGACTCTGAAGGTAGTGACAACAGGCGGATACCCACAGGGCGGATGTGGAGTTTAAGAGAGGACTCGGGGATGACTCTGGCGGTTTAGATCTGAGCAGCTGGAAGAATGAAGTTGTAATCCTGGTCAGGCGTGGAGGATCATGCCTGTAATCCCAGCACTTGGGGAGGCCGAGGCGGGCGGATCACCTGAGGTCGGGAGTTCAAGACCAACCTGACTAACGTGGAGAAACCCCATCTCTACTGAAAATACAAAATTAGCCGGACGTGGTGGCACATGCCTGTAATCCCAGCTACTCAGGAGGCTAAGGCAGGAGAATCGCTTGAACCCAGGAGGCGTAGGTTGCGGTGAGCCGAGAGGGCGCCATCGCACACCAGCCTGAGCAACAACAGCGAAACTCCGTCTCAAAAAAAAAAAGTTGTAATCTTACTGAGGTGGGGAGGCTGTGGCGGGAGCAGGTGTCAGGAAGCTCAGAGGCTCAGTTTTGGACTTGTTGAGTTTGACACACAAGTAGGCCTCCAAGGAAGACGTTGCACGAACACTAGTCTGGGGTTCAGGGGAGGTCTGGACAGAGGGTGTAAATCTGGAGTCATTGGCATATAGATGGAATTTCAGCGCTCTCCCAGGGTGTCAGTGATGGTTGATACTCTTCTCCCCCAACAAATGCAGCCTCAGACACCGAGCAGGGACCTAGTGAAGGACTGTTGACCAGACAGATGTTCAGATCAATGCGCTTTTACATCAAAACCATCATGCGGGTTCCACAAATGCAACAGACATCGCTGGGTGTGGTGGCTCACACCTGTAATCCCAGCACTTTGGGGGCTGAGGCAGGTGGATCACCTGAGGTCAGGGGTTTGAGACCAGCCTGGCCAACATGGCAAATGCCGTCTCCACTAAAAATACACACACACACAAAATTAGGCAGGCATGGTGGCGCACGCCTGTAGTCCCAGCTACTTGGGAGGCTAAGGCAGGAGGATCGCTTGAACCCGGGAGGCAGAGGCTGCAGTGAGCCGAGGTCGCCCACTGCTCTGGGTGACAGCGAGACTCCATCTCAAAAATAAAAAATAAAAAATAAATAACTAGACATCATTACTATAAGAAAAGGGGGATTCTTTACTAACAGCCCCCTACCATCTCTGTCCCAGCCCCACAACAAGAAGAGACCCCTCCAGCCACTGAGTCCCCGCTGGAGCCACGCCTAGGAGAGCTGACAGTGACAGATGTGACCCCCAACTCTGTGGGCCTCTCCTGGACAGTCCCCGAGGGCCAGTTTGACTCCTTCATAGTCCAGTACAAGGACAAGGACGGGCAGCCCCAGGTGGTGCCGGTGGCGGCAGACCAGCGAGAGGTCACAGTCTACAACCTGGAGCCTGAGAGAAAATATAAGATGAACATGTATGGACTACATGATGGGCAACGCATGGGCCCCCTGTCTGTGGTCATCGTGACGGGTGAGTAATGGGGGGACTCAGTCCTCATCTCTGGTTACCCAGAGCTCCCCCACCCCATGGCCCTTCTTCCAGCCCTGCCTTGGTACCACCGCACCCTCACTGAGGGGCTAGATCCCCTCAGGCCCTGGCTCGGTGACCCTGCCAGTCTTTCTGTTCCCTGACCCCTTTACTCCTCCCAGGGCTAGAGCCTTCTCAGCCCTCCAGCTCCTTCCCCATCTCCACTCTGCCCCCCGCCCAGGGGAATGTCTTATTTCCATTTGGCCTAAATCCAGCCACAGACTTTCTCTCCCCCTCTCCGACTGCCCACAGCTGTTTCCACCCCTTCTCTTTACAACCCTGCTGTGACTTGGACACAGCTGCCACCTCCTGCTTCTGCCCTTTTTTGTTGAGGCGAAGTGCTTTACATCCTGAGTCCCTTCTCAGGAGTCCTCTGCCACCTGCCTGCACTGCATTCCATCCCAGCCCTGGAGAGTTTTCATCTCTCCAGGAGGCTGCCTCACTCTTGCTCTGGGCTCCTTCCTGCCCCTCATGGCTTCCTGGGCACAGGTTCTCCATGATTGTTGTGCTGTGGCATCTGGTGAAACCCCTACCCCACCTGAAGGCAATGTTTTTAAATCTGTAAAATAAGCTGTATAGGATTACAAAGGAAACATTATATTTATAGACAGTTATCAAAATATTTCTTTTTTATTTTTGAGATGGAGTTTTGCTCTTGTCATCCAGGCTGGAGTGCAATGGCGCGATCTCGGCTCACTGCAACCTCCGCTTCCCAAGTTCAAGCAATTCTCCTGCCTCAGCCTCCCGAGTAACTGGGATTACGGGCACGTGCCACCACACCCAGCTAATTTTTTGTATTTTTAGTAGAAACAGGGTTTCGCCATGTTGGCCAGGCTGGCCTCAAACTCCTGACCTCAGGTGATCCACCCGCCTCGGCCTGGCATGAGCCACTGCACCCGGCCCAAAATATTTCTTAAAAATCCAAAGTTACGATTTAGTAATACTTGGACTTATTTACTAGTTCATTAAATAACAGGACTTGGTGGCGCGTTTACTAAACTACAAAATTTAGAAGCAGTGATGGATATAAAAGGTATTTTAAAGTTTCTGCAATAACTCTAAGGTGACATGAAAACATCTGTGGTTTCTATTGGTAACAAAGTCACAATAATTCTACTCTGGTGGGTTTTCTATATTAGTTTTGGAAAGAAATGCTGCATTTCAGTTAGAGGTCTGGAAGTAAAGGTGTAACTATTCCCCATCTCAGTTCACAGCCCCCCTGAGGCCCTCAAAGCCCAGGGGTTCTCCCCTCAGAGATCTCAACCATGTTCTTTGTCTTCCCAAATCCCAGCTCCCCTCCCACCAGCCCCAGCCACAGAGGCCTCCAAGCCTCCCCTGGAGCCACGCCTAGGGGAGCTGACAGTGACGGATATAACCCCTGACTCTGTGGGCCTCTCATGGACAGTCCCTGAGGGTGAATTCGACTCCTTTGTGGTTCAGTACAAGGACAGGGACGGGCAGCCCCAGGTGGTGCCCGTGGCTGCAGATCAGCGGGAGGTCACTATCCCTGACCTGGAACCCTCCCGCAAGTACAAGTTCCTGCTCTTTGGGATCCAGGATGGGAAACGACGCAGCCCAGTCTCTGTGGAGGCAAAGACGGGTGAGATGGGCCCCTACACAGCTGAGCCTGAGGCCACAGCCTTCCCACCCTTCTCTTCACTCCCTCTGCTGAGTCTTCCCTTTGTCCACCTGCTCTGTCTCATTTGAAAAGCCACATGGGGCTAGCACAGTGACTCATGCCTGTAATCCCAGCACTTTGGGAGTCCAAGGCAGGTCAGGAGTTTGAGACCAGTCTGGCCAACATGGCAAAACCCTGTCTCTACTAAAAAGACAAAAATTAGCTGGGTGTGGTGATGGGTGCTAGTAATTCCAGCTACTCGGGAGTCTGAGGCACAAGAATCACTTGAACCCAGGAGGTGGAGGCTGCAGGGAGCTGAGATTGCGCCACTGCACTCCAGCCTGGGTGATAGAGCCAGACTCCGTCTCAAAAAAGACCAAAAAAAAAAAAAAAGAAAGAAAAGCCGCAAAGCAGATGAGGACCAGGAGAGTGGGGCCAGTTCCTGGGTCTGCTGTCCCCTGCTGACTCTGCCTCTCTTCTCGTAATTTCCACTTTTGTTGGATGAGGGAAGCCCCTACAGGCCTCTTCCTGCAGGGTGGATGTGGGAGCCTGGGGGTGCTGGGAGAAGGGGCGAGGGGAGCCAGGAACCCTTCCTGCCTTGCGAATCCATCACCTCCTGAGAGTCTTTGTTGTCTCCCCTGTGACTCTCACCCAGGTTCTCACCCTCCTAGCTCAGGCCTGTCTGGGCCCATATGTGCCTCCTACAGAGGCTGCCCTTCCTTCTCTGCCCTCCTCCTGAAGTCTCAGAAATTGGGAACCAGAGGAGCCCAGCCCAGCTGTGCCCCTTTCCGAGGGTTCAGTCCAAGCCCTCCCCTGCCCCTGGGGGCTCCCTATTGCCAGAAAACTTGCAATAACAATGTCGTCAGCGTCCTCACCGTCCAGGAAGGCAGCAGGCCAGCTCCTTCTCAAGCCCTGGGATGGCTCCTCAGGCAGACACCAGATCCCTTCCCTGCCTGAGCTCCCCGGCATCATCCCCCTCAACATTCTCACAGGCAGCCCACGCTCCTTCACCAGGCCCAGTGGGAGCCTTAGTTCTCCCGGGCCAGCCGGTGCAGAATAAGAAAGGGAACGGAGAAGGGTGAGAACTACCTGTGTCGTAACATCCTGCCTCCCTGACCTGCCGAGTGCCCCCATCAGGGATCCTGCGCTCCTCGGGGCCGGCCAAATCACCCCTTTCCTCAGGGGCCGGCCAAATCACGGCCAAATCGTGTGCTCCTGGGTAAGAGGAGATAGAGACCCAGTCTGTAAGAAGCTGCACCCTGCTGGGGAAGCAGTCTGTGAGAGGCGGAAAGAGGCTGGACAGAAAGGGGAGTAAGATGAGGCAGGGAGCTAGGGAATCTCTTTTCCTGGAGGTGACTCAGGACAGGTGACCCTCCCCACTTGGGTCAAGGGGAGAGAGGCATGGACCAGACGGAGATGGTGGTGAGGATGGGAGGTGATGGAAATATTTTGGGGAAGCACTGAGCATTTGGGCAGTTCTGGGTTTTTCCAGCCCCAGAGGGAGGCAGTCAAGGAGTCGTTTTGGAAAAAATAAACACAAGAACCTTTCCTCTCCAGTTGCCCGAGGTGACGCCAGCCCAGGGGCCCCACCCCGCCTTGGGGAGCTGTGGGTGACAGACCCCACCCCAGACTCACTGCGCCTCTCCTGGACGGTTCCTGAGGGCCAGTTCGACTCTTTTGTGGTCCAGTTCAAGGACAAAGACGGGCCCCAGGTGGTGCCCGTGGAGGGCCATGAGCGCTCTGTCACTGTCACCCCTCTGGATGCCGGCCGCAAGTACAGATTCCTCCTCTATGGCCTCCTGGGCAAGAAGCGCCATGGCCCTCTCACTGCCGACGGCACCACGGGTGAGGGGCATTCCCTGCAGGTCCCTGCTCTGCTCCCCTCAGGCCAAGCAGCAGACGGTCACTTGTGGTGGCTGCCATTACCATTATTTGGCCCCAGCCACTCGGCTCAGATCCAGCTCCCCACGTCCCTGCACAAGCCCCTAGCACAGCCCGGCAGGACTCAGCCACGCAAAGCCCTGTCTCCAGACCTCTCAATCCTGCCCGTCGAGGTCACCCAGTCTTCCAGAAACAGCTCAGCCGTTTCCTCTCCGTGTCTCCATCTCAGAAGCCCGGAGTGCTATGGATGATACTGGAACAAAGCGTCCCCCAAAACCCCGTCTGGGGGAGGAGCTGCAGGTGACCACCGTGACCCAGAACTCCGTGGGCCTCTCCTGGACAGTCCCTGAGGGCCAGTTTGACTCCTTTGTGGTCCAGTACAAAGACAGGGACGGGCAGCCCCAGGTGGTGCCCGTGGAGGGCAGCCTCAGGGAGGTCAGCGTGCCGGGCCTGGACCCTGCCCACAGGTACAAGCTGCTGCTCTACGGGCTGCACCACGGCAAGCGTGTGGGCCCCATCTCGGCCGTCGCCATTACTGGTGAGTGTGCGGCAGCTGGAACACCTGTGCCTCCTTCCCGCCTGGCTCTCCTGGTCTGACTGAGCCATAAGATCTCTGAGCTTCCCATTTTATATCATTTCCATTGATCCAGAAAGTTTCCTTGTGCCCCTTTAGAGTCAGTTGCCCCAGTCCCAGCCTCCAGCAACCACTGTCTGCTTTCGATCATCCTGGAGACAGCATTTTGACTCTCCATGTAATGGAATCACAATACGCAGTCTCTTGTGTTTCATTTCTTGCAATTAGCACAATGCTTTTGAAATTCACCCATGTGCAGCAAAAGCTGGTCTTTCGATTGCTGACTGCTTGCCCTCACTCCCTCTCCTCCCTCACTCCTCCTGAGAGTCTGGGTGCAGCGACACACCAGCCATCTGTCTCTACCTGTCTCTGTGAACCAGCCGGCAGGGAAGAAACGGAAACTGAGACCACGGCCCCGACCCCTCCAGCGCCTGAGCCCCACCTCGGGGAGTTGACAGTGGAGGAGGCCACGTCACACACCCTGCATCTCTCCTGGATGGTGACTGAGGGAGAATTTGACTCCTTCGAAATCCAGTACACAGATAGAGACGGGCAACTCCAAATGGTCCGCATAGGAGGTGACCGGAATGACATCACCCTCTCTGGCCTGGAATCCGACCACAGATACCTGGTGACCCTGTATGGTTTCAGTGATGGGAAGCATGTAGGTCCTGTCCATGTCGAGGCCCTGACAGGTGAGAACTCTGCCCACTATGCCTCCTTTCAGATGGCTGGGAGAGTCCAGAGGACAGCAGAGTCCCGCGGATACCCTGCCCACCTCAGTCCTCTCTTTCCATGTCTCTGTCCAGTCCCGGAGGAGGAGAAGCCTTCAGAACCTCCCACCGCAACCCCCGAGCCCCCCATCAAGCCTCGCCTGGGGGAGCTGACCGTGACAGATGCCACCCCTGACTCCCTCAGCCTGTCCTGGACAGTTCCCGAGGGACAGTTTGACCACTTCCTGGTCCAGTACAGGAATGGAGATGGGCAGCCCAAGGCAGTGAGGGTGCCAGGGCACGAGGAAGGGGTCACCATCTCGGGCCTGGAGCCAGACCATAAATACAAGATGAACCTGTACGGCTTCCACGGTGGCCAGCGCATGGGCCCTGTGTCTGTCGTCGGGGTGACAGGTGAGTGGATGATGGGAGCCCCAGGGTGGGAGCCATGGGAGGGTCACCCTCTTGCTCTTTGGTGATGACTGGTGGGGAATGGGACAAGGGTCTGGTCAGCACCACAGACCTGCTTGTGGCTGGGGCTGGGGCTCCCCTTGGGCCTTCCTGTGAGGTTGACCACTGGCTCCTCCTGAACAGAGAGGGGCCATCGGGAATTTTGCTGTGCTGGTGGCTGTCCCAGGTCCCCCACAGCTGACCCTGGAACTTGTCATGTGTGTTAGCTGTCAGCTGAGCAGGACCACCCAGCCCCAAGAGTAGGCCTCTCTGAACTGACCTCGGGTCCCCCAGTCATAGCCTTGGCTTCTCCCTCCTTTTCCCCAGTACCCAAGGACATCCCCCTCACTCTCTCTTCCTCCTTCTCAGCTGCAGAGGAAGAGACCCCCAGCCCCACAGAACCCAGCATGGAGGCCCCGGAGCCCGCTGAGGAGCCGCTCCTGGGGGAGCTAACAGTGACAGGATCCTCCCCTGACTCGCTGAGCCTCTCCTGGACCGTCCCCCAGGGCCGCTTCGACTCCTTCACCGTGCAGTACAAGGACAGGGACGGGCGGCCCCAGGTGGTGCGTGTTGGGGGCGAGGAGAGTGAAGTCACCGTGGGGGGCCTGGAGCCTGGGCGCAAGTACAAGATGCACCTGTACGGCCTCCACGAGGGGCGGCGCGTGGGCCCAGTGTCTGCTGTGGGCGTCACGGGTGAGTGTGCACTGCAGAGCCCTCTGGGTTGGGTCTTAGCAAAGTACAGCCTCCAGCATCTCCTCCACTAGGGACCCAGAACCCCAAGACCTCAAACCTGTAATACACCCTGTTCACTAAAGGCTCAGGACAGGTGTGATCTGGGGACAGAGAGAGCAAATCCAGGAGAAGTGTCGGAGCCATATGGGAAAGGCCCCCAGGGACTGAGGCCTCTTGGGAGGTGATTCACTGGCTGGTTTGTGGCTCTCCGCTTTTCCTTGGAACTCTATACATAACTCTTTTTGTGAGATTGGAACACATTTTTGAAATACAAATTAATTAAATTAATAAGTATTTGTTAAATAAAATTTCAAATGTATAAACAGAAAGAATAGTACAAAGACCCTGCCATCCTCCTTCAATCAAATATCGACTTCTGGCCAGTCTGGCTCATCTCTGCCCCACCCACTTCCTCCACTAGAATCACTAGAATGTTTTCTTTCTTTCTTTCTTTCTTTCTTTCTTTCTTTCTTTCTTTCTTTCTTTCTTTCTTTCTTTCTTCCTTCCTTCCTTTCTTTCTTTCTCTTTCTTTCTTTCTTTCATTCTTTTCTTTCTTTCTTTTTAGACAAGGTCTCACTCTGTCGCCTGGGCTAGAGTGTACTGGCACAGTCACAATTCACTGCACTGCAGCCTCAACCTCCTGGGCTTAAGGGATCCTCCCACTTCAGCCTCCCGAATAGCTGGGACTACAAGTGCACTCCACCATGCCCAGCTAATTTTTTGTATTTTTTGTAGAGACAGGGTTTAGCCATGTTGCCCAGGCCAGTCTCGAACTCCTGGGCTCAAGTTATCCTCCCACCTCAGCCAAAGTGATAGGATTCCAGGCGTGAGCCGCCACACCCGGCCTGAATGTTTTCTTTATTAACACCTTTATGGAGATATAATTCATGTGGCATAAAATACACTTGTTTTTAGTGTACAACTTACTGATTTTAGTATCTTTACCTACTTGTGCAGCCATCACCACGATCTAATTTTAGAACTTTTCCATCACCCCCAAAAGAAATCTTGGGTCCAGACCCATTCCTACCTCAGCCCTAGTTTATAACTAATCTACTTTTTTCTCTGTAGATTGCTGTTCCAGAACATTTCGTATAAATGGACTCAAACAATATGTATTCTTTTGTGTCTAGCTTCTTTCACTGAGCATAATGTTTTTGAGGTTCATCAATGTAGCATGTAGAAGTACTATACTTACTACATTGCTATTGATTGATTGATTGATTGATTGATTGATTTTTTTTGAGACAAATTCCCACTCTATTGCCCAGGCTATAGTGCAGTGGCATGATCATAGCTCACTGCAGCCCCAGACTCCTGGGCTCAAGCCATCCTCCCATCTCAGCCCCCCAGGTAGCTGGGGCCACAGGTGCTCGCCACCACACTCAGCTAATTTAAAAAAATTTTTTGTAGAGATGGGGTCTCACAGTGTTACCCAGGCTGATATCAAACTCCTGGCTTCAAGGAATCCTCCTGCCTGGGCCTTACAAAGTGCTGGGATAGCAGGCATGAGCCACCTGCTCTCTCTCAGCCACTACACTGCTTTTTATTGCCAAACAGTATTGCATTGTGTGGTTATACTACTGCAGTATTTTAAAAACGAACCACAGACATCCTATGCTTTCATCACTAAATATTTAAAGGTATATCTCTTTTTAAAAAAATTATTTTTAAAAAATCCACAATATGGCCAGGTGAGGTGGTTCACGCTTGTAATCCCAGCACTTTGGGAGGCCAAGGCAGGTGGATCACTTGAGGTAAAGAGTTCAAGACCAGCCTGACCAACATGGTGAAACCCCGTCTCTACTAAAAATAATAATAATAATAATAAATTTTAAAAAGTACAAAAAAGCGGAGCGTGGTGGCACGTGCCTGTAGTCCCAGCTACTTGGCGGGGGTTGAGGCACAAGAAATTGCTTGCACCCAGGAGGTGGAGGTTGCAGTGAGCCAAGATCGCGCCACTGCACTCCAGCCTGGGTGACAGAGTGAGACTCTGTGTCAAAAAATAAATAAATAAATAATAAAATTCCACAATACAATTAGCATACCTTGATAAGTGAACAATCATGCCTTGATATCAAGTATCCAGGTAGTGCTACAGTCTCCCGAGTGTCTCATAATTGTTGTTTCCCAATTTGTTGCTGAAATCAGGTCTATAGAAGGAGGATACATTGCAATTGAGAAAACTGAAATTTTAAATAGAGTAATCAGGGAAGGCCCACAGAAGAAGGTGGCTTTTGAACAAAGACTTAAAGGAAGTGTGGGGATGAGCCATGAAGATATCTGGGGAAAGAACATTTAGGTAGAGGGAACAGTCATTGTAAAAGTACTGAGGTAGGAGGCTGCCTGGCATGGTTGAGGGACCATAAGGAAGCCACAAAATCTGATTATGATTATAATCAGAAATCGATCTTAAGTTAGGGCCAGACTGGGCCCACCTTCTGACCTGAATTCAAGACAGCTGGGGCCTCAACACCTCCTTGCAGCAAGAGAAAAGATTCTGTTTCTATCTCTTCCTAGCCCCCGAAGAGGAGTCCCCTGATGCTCCTCTTGCAAAGCTGCGCCTAGGGCAGATGACAGTGAGAGACATCACCTCCGACTCCCTCAGCCTCTCCTGGACAGTCCCCGAGGGCCAGTTTGACCATTTCTTGGTCCAGTTTAAGAATGGGGACGGGCAGCCCAAGGCGGTGCGGGTGCCGGGACACGAGGATGGGGTCACCATCTCGGGCCTGGAGCCAGACCACAAGTACAAGATGAACCTGTACGGCTTCCACGGTGGCCAGCGCGTGGGCCCCGTGTCTGCTGTTGGTTTAACTGGTGAGTGTGCAGTAGGGCACTGGGCCCTGCCCTGAACTAGACTCAGTTTCCCTTTTATTGTCAGTATCTGGTGGCTTTATTTTACTTTCCCTGAGACCAAGCCTCCCAAGCTCCTGGGAATGGTTCTGCTGGTGCCTTCACTCCGAGACTTTGGTATTGCCCCAGGTCTTCTGCCCGTTACACATGGGCTTTTTGGGTTCCCAAAGAGGTGGGGGACCAGGAAAATAACACAGACTGAGGCACACCTGGGGTTGACCATAGCTTCAGCCCATTTGAGCTGTGTGTCCTCAAGAGACTCACACAACCTGTCTGGGCACGGTGGCTCATGCCTGTAATCCCAGCACTTTGGGAGGCCGAAGGGGGCAGATCACTTGAGGTCAGGAGTTCGAGACCAGCCTGGCCAACATCATGAAACCCCCATCTCTACTAAAAATACAAAAATTAGCTGGGTGTGGTGGCACATGCCTGTAGTCCCAGCTACTCGGGAGGCTAAGGCGGGAGAATCGCTTGAACCCAGGAGGCGGAGGTTGCAGTGAGCCGAGATCGAGCCACTGCACTCCAGCCTGTGTGACAGAGTGAGACCCTGTCTCAAAAAAACAAAACAAGCAAACAAAAAACAGACACACGACCTCTCTGTACATCCTTTTCCTCATCTGTAAAGAAGGAATAACCATACCTGTCGTGAAGGGTGGGCGGGAGTGTGGCTTGGCTCTCACACACAATGAGAGATAACTGCAGTCTTTCCCTTCTGAGGAAGGTAGGTAGTTCCTGAAAACCGCTTAGGGCAAATTCTCATAATTATCACTGATTTCAGTGGGAAAAATTGTATGTGTTCTCTAAGCTCCCAAATTAATACCCATTTATTTTTAAAACAACACTGAATCCTGTTAACATGGATACTATTACTTTAATTGTAAATATTGGCC